>NC_000012.12:111096491-111248006 GCF_000001405.40 Homo sapiens | reverse complement strand
TTGAACCCAGAGTCTGAGGCTGCAGTGAGCCAAGATTGCACCACTGCACTCTAGCCTGGGTGACAGAGCAAGAGACTCTGTCTCAAAAACAAAGAAACAAACAAACAAAAGATATGCTTTGTTCACTGTTAAACACAGGGTGAGGTTGGCCAGGCCACAGACGGTTCTTGGAATTTCTGGCCAAAGGGTTGTGAGGGTGTGTGAGAAGATGACATCATCTAGGGGGAACATGAGGGGTGGACGCCCCTGGAACATGAGGGCTGAAGCCAAAAAACCAGAGCGTGGGCAGAGGGTCAGCAATGCCAAGAACCCCTCTCCCCATCCTGCCCCCAGCAACAGGCGCCCTCTTGAGACTTGGGGCTGTCCAGGGTCTACATGCCAGGCCCCAGTGACACCTGCTGCCCCCTGACCTGGCTTGGTGATCCTGACCTGGCCCATGAACTCTCGCCACCCTGTGCTCTCTCAGCCCTGTGCTGCAGTAGCCATGTCTCTGGGAAGGCTGCAGGGATCCCAAGTGGCAGCGGCCTCCCCTTTGCAGTGATCCTGACAAGTTCTCCGAAATACCAGCTCAGAAGAGCGGAGCTAAAAGAACATGTCTGCCCTTTCTGGAAAGGCGGCTGCCCAAATGTCACTGAAGTGCTACCCTGCCCAGGCTTTTAAATATAGCAGCGTCCTTTCTGGACGTATCTGTGGAGTGTGGCTGGAGACAGCCCCGGGAGAGCCTCAGCCGGGCATGCATGCCCTCCACTGTCTGATCCCAGCCCAGTCTAGCCGGGGTCCTTGCTGCCTAACTTTCCACGTGCGGTGCTCGCTATGGACTCAGCCGTCTGCAGTGGGCTCCAGAGGTGAGGAGCCTGGGTTTGATTCCCAGTAAATGCCTCCCTCTTTGTGGCCTTGGGCACAAATATCCACATCTGAGGGTTATCATCAGGATTAAGGTGATGATACATAAAAGGTGCTTAGCACATAGCCTAGCAAACAGAAGATACTCAATAGATGTTGATTTTATTATCATTATGATCCTTGATGTACACAGCCCTATGCCAAGATGAACAAAACACAGCCCCAGCCCCTCAGTCCTAGAGTCAGAAAGACATAGACCACAGCAGAGGGTGGCAGGGAAGCAGCGCTTTGAGGAGGGACAGTCAAGGACGGAGTCATGTACCCTGCAGGGCACAGCTAGGAGGGCTTCAAGGAGGAAGAGGCACAGGCTCACACAAGAGAGGCAGGCCGTTGATTCAACAGGAGGGAGAGCAGTTGCATACAAAGGTGAGAGGTGAGAAAGGACCTCGCCTTGCCAGACAACACCCACAGTCCATTCCTCTAAGTCCAACTTTGCAAACGTGGAGTCTGTGGTCCAAATTCCACATGCACTTTGTTTTGCTCAGGTTTTAAAAATGATTGATGTTAGCCAATCTTTAAGAATCCGGAGATTTTTGTTTTTTGCATAAAAATCAAGATTTCCAGCTTCTCTGGAAGAATTGGAAGATGTGGCCACAGTAGTGTCACGTTCCCCCATTATAATCACATTGATCACACAAAGAGGAATACAGTGAATTGGAGGGTGGCCAGTGTGCTGGGCACCGTTTTAAGTGCTTTATATGTATTAAGTCTAGAAATCATCCTAAAAGCCCTGTGAGGAAGGTGCCTGTGCTGGTAAAGGTTTAACAAGTGGCTGACTGGTGAGAAAAAATAAAAAAGGTCTGATTTGTAGTGTCTGCCAATGGCTGTGGTGTAAATACTCCCACCATGGCAGATTTCATGCAATCAGTGTCACTGATGGTGGCGTTCACTATATGAATCTCTGTGTCACACCAGTGGCAGGTGCGGTTATCATTTCTACTTTCCAGATGAGGAAACTGAGGCGCAGAGAAGTCAAGAGACTTGCCCCGGGTCATGCAGCTAGGAAAGCTGGCAGAGTAGGGATCGGGAGACAGAGCAGCTTGGCCCTGAAGTTTGTGCTCTCAGCTCCTGAAATGAGCTGCAAGACCAGACTGCTTTAATCTGCCTGAGCGGGGTACAGGCCACTCCTTCAGATGGCTTACAGAGTCCCCACCTGCCCCAGTCCCCACGCCTCCCTGTTGTCTCATCTGTGCCTGCGTTGTCCATTTTGTGCACCTGCCAGGCCCCCGTGGGTAACTGAGGTTGCAACTCTGCTTTGGGGATGAAACGCCACCCTGGTCCTACTTTTCTGTTTGTGTCCAGGTTGTGGACCTGGACACAAACAGGAGGCACTTGGGTGGGGCATACCCAGCTCCTTTTCCTCTGTCCCTACCCTGTCCCCTTGCACCTGACACAAAACGCAGAGAAAACCTCTTAGCTCGAATGCTCCTTATTGTTTTCTCATTCTCTTTTTCCCAGGAATACCAGCAGCATCATTTTTCTTTGAGACAGGGTCTCGCTCTGTTGCCCAGACTGGTGCAGTGGTGTAATCATGGCTCACTGCAGCCTCGATCTCCTGGGCTCAAGTGATCCTCCCACCTCAGCCTCTGGAGTAGGTGGGAACACAGGGGTGTGCCACCATGTCTGGTTTATTAAAAAAAGAAAAATTGTGCTTCTGGATGACTAGATAGATAGCATCAAAACAATGGAAAAAAATTAAGAAAAAAGTAAAAAAAAATTTTTTTTTTTGGGTAGAGATGGGGGTCTCACTATGTTGCCCAGGGTGGTCTCAAACTCCTGGGCTCAAGTGATCCTCCTGCCTTGGCCTCCCAAAGTGCTGGGATTACGAGCGTGAGTCACTGTGCCTGGCTGCACCACCAATTTAATATAAGCATTTTTTCTGCTCTCCTTCTCACCTCCTGCCATACCATAGAACAAAACTTTGAAACAACATGATTTATAAGGGAAAAAAATACCAAGAACAGTTCACCTTGGGTTGGAAATACAAATGGTGCTGTATCCCCTATGCTCTGTGGGGAGAAGTTGCTTCCATTTCTCAGAGTAGGGGGGCTTGGATGGGGACCCCATTTTTCATTCTGTTTCTCAAAGACAAGCAGCCTTGAGAAGCCCCCACAACAGCCTTCATTGCTCCCAGCTAAGAGCCCAGGATGGCAGCAAATGAGGGAGAGGCATGTATTTGGTGGGAAGCATGGAAATAATCATGTGTGAGTAGATTTTTGAAGTAATTTAATTACCTTGCACAGCAATGAAATCTGGTTTCTGCTTTCATTAATGACCAATGACATGGGCTGAGGTTTCCTGACACCCTGGGGGAGAGGAGTTTATGCAACCCCAGGCAGCCTCAACTGTTCTGTTCTGATCAGTCCTGACCTTGCTACCAATTGCCCCCTGCCCCTGCCTTGGGATTGACTAGGCTGTACACTGGGAAAATCCTGATGGAAGTGCCCAGCATTACCTGTAAGTAGATTTGCTAAAAACATTGAACCTGAACCTGATCATGCCTCTAGATCCAACTGCTCATACATAGCAAATACAAGGATGGAAGAACAAGTTAAATGACACCACGGGGTCGTGATCAGCAAAATCTCAGCTAGAGGTAACGGAACTTGCTCAATGTCTTGCAGCTCCGGACAGAGCTGGGATTGAACCCAAGCTCATGAGCACAGTGCTATCTAGCGACAACATGGGGAGCTGGAGAAAGCACAGCTGGGCTTCCCAGAGGACGGGACAAGCACCCAGAAGAACAGCCCAGAACCAAGGTGGGTACTTCCCCACTAGGGGTGAGGTCCCTCCTGCAGCCCCCTCTCTAGGCCGACTTTCTCAGCTGCCCCACACACTTCCTGGGTGGAAAGTGCCCATCACAATGGCTGCCTCAGCTTCTGGGTTCACCCTACAGCACCCATGCTAACAACCCAGTTTGGGAGGCCAAGGTAGGAGGATTGCTTGAGCCCAGGATTTCGAGACCAGCCTGGGGAACTCTGCCTCTTTAAAAAAACAAAAACAAAAAAAAACCCAAAAAGCTAATAACCCAGACCAGTCAAAACCAACCAGTTCTGAATTCAAACTCCTGGGATAATGAATATCATTGGCTTAGCTTGAGACCAGCATCAGCCCCTGGTCCAATCAGCTGCAGTCAGAGGAAAGTTTTTAGGAAAAACTGTTCTGGTCACTTCCACATACAAAGAGCAGGCACATGTGCTCACGAACACACATGCACACACACATACAGGAAGGGATGGACAGGGAGCTTACAGATGAGAAGACATGGCTTGACCAACTTGTCTCAGTTTGCCTGGGACTTTCTTGGTTTTAGCATGGAAATTTGTGCACCTCAAGACCTTCCCAGTTTTAAAACTGAAAGTTCTGCTTGCCGGGAACCCCTCAGTCCAGGGCCAAGCTGTGACAGTTGATCACTCTACTTAAGAGGTACATCTTAGCCAGACATGGTGGTGCATGCCCGTAGTCCCAGCTACTTGGGAGGCTGAGGTGGGAGGATCACTTGAGCCCAGGAATTTGAGGCTGCAGTGAGCTATGATTGCACCACTGCACTCCAGCCTGGGCAACAGAGCGAGACCCTGTCTCAAAAAAAAAAAAAAAAAAAAAAAAAGGCACATCAACCAATCATAATGTGTGAACCTATTTGAGTCCTGATATAAACAAAAATCTGTTTCAAAAAATGGGAGGGCTAACCAGGGACACTGGGTATTTGATGACATTAAGAAAGTACTATTAAAATTTTGAGGGTAGATCATATTGTGGTTACATTTAAAAAGAGATTCCTTTTTTCAGAAATATATACTAAAATATTTACAGGTAAAATGATACAATGACTTGAGTTTTCTTCAAAATAATCTAGAGGTGTGAGAGGAAGGTGGCTATGCAGGAATAGTTGTTGAAACTGGGTCCATGGGACTGACCAATTATTTTATTCTCTTTACTTTTGTATGCTGGATTTTTTCCATAATAAAGAGTAAAAGAAAACCTACCAAAATGCCCATCAATGATAGACTGGATAAAGAAAATGTGGCACATATACACCATGGAATACTATGCAGCCATAAAAAAGGATGAGTTCATATCCTTTGCAGGGACATGGATGAAACTGGAAACCATCATATTCAGCAAACTAACACAGGGAGAGAAAATCAAACACCTCATGTTCACACTCGTAAGTGGGAGTTGAACAATGAGAACACATGGACACAGGGAAGGGAACATCACACACCAGGGCCTGTCATGGGGTGGGGGACTAGGGGAAGGATAGCATTAGGAGAAAAACCTAATATAGATGATGGGTTGATGGATGCAGCTGCCCCGGCTGGAATGCAGTGGTGGAATCTCGACTCACTGCAACCTCTGCCTCCCAGGTTCAAGCGATTCTCCTGCCTCAGCCTCTGGAGTACCTGGGATTACAGGCATGCACCACCACGCCTGGCTAATTTTTGTATTTTTAGTAGAGATGGGGTTTCACCATGTTGGCCAGGCTGGTCTTGAATTCCTGACCTAAGGTGATCTGCCCACCTCGGTCTCCCAAACTGCTGGGATTACAGGCGTGAGCCACCATGTCTGGCCTACAAATCTAATCTAGGAACACAGATCAGCAAACCTGTTTCATCAAGAGCCACGGAGCAAGTATTTTCAGCTTTTCAGGCCACCTGATCTCTGTTGCAACTCCTCAACTCTGCCCTTGTCGTGGGAAAGCAGCTGCAGGAAATATGTGAACGAATGTGCATGGCTGTGTTCCAATAAAACTTTATTTGGCCCACGGGCTATAATTTGCCAACCTCTGGTCTTGAAGGATTCAGTTTCATCACTTATTTGCTGTTGCAACTTAGGAAAGTCACTCAACCTTTAAGGTTTCCTCCCCTGTAAGATGGGGATAATAACAGTTCTGTATCAGGCCAGGATTCAATGCGATAATGAATTGGGCTTGGCCCAGTGTCAAAGTGAGTAGTAGGTCCTCAACAAATAGCAGGTGATACTGTTATTGATCTGTCATACTCTGCTAGAACATTTTGTTCACTGCTTAGAACAGCATCTGGCACATAATAGAAGCCCAATAAATATTTGTTGAAATGATGAACAATTATGTCTGCCCCTGTCAAGCAAAGAAAGCAAGGATGAGAAAACATGGTCTTTTCATGACTTTTCAAACTATCAGCCCATCTTGTACATTGAAAGAGGAAAACTTAGAACAGAGACATGAGTCCTACTTCACACAATAAGGAGTCAGCTCATGAGATCTGCTTCCTAAGACTGCATAGCTGAAGGCTGAGTTTTGTAAAGTGTCACGCTGTCAGGGGTGGTCCCAGGAAGCTGGCCAGCCCAAGTTCTGATGATCAGTATCATGGAAGAAGCAGATTGCTCCAGCTGCCCCTCAAGGGCCTGGCCAGAAACATGGGTTGAATGAGCCATGGGGTCGGGCCAACGTGGGATGTCTACATCCAGTCTTGGCCGCCATGTTGTTTGAAATGAAAATTAACTCTCAACTGTTGGAGTAGGGCTCCTTGGAGCAGGTGCTCCCCTTTCACAGGGAACCTGGGGGTGGGGTGGGGGTGTTAAGTCTTGATCCTAGGAAAAGCATGTGGAAGAATGAAACAAGATGACATCAGGGCTTGGCTCCAATGGGCTAGAACTGGAAGCAACCCATTCTCAGCAGCATGTATTTCTTTATCTTGACTTCTGGACAAACTGCAGACTATTGGGCTCTGCTATGGTTTGGACATGGCTTGTCCCCATCAAAACTCATGTTGAAGTTTGATCCCCAATGCAGCAGTATTGGGAGTCGGGGCCTAGTGAGAAGTGTTTGGGCCGTGGGGGTGGATCTCTCATGAATAGATTAATGTCCTCTCTTGGGAATGGATTATTTCCTGAGAGCAGGTTGTGAAAGAGTCTTGCTTCCTTGGTTTCTCTCTCTTGTTTCCTCTCTCACCATGTGATCTCTGCATACGCCCTCTCCCCTTCCACCTACCACCCCAAGAGGAAGGTGGCCCTCACCAGATGCGGCTTCCCAAACTTGAACTTTGCAGCCATCAGAACGGTGAGCCAAGTAACCCTCTTTTCTTTATACATTACCCAGCCTCAGGTATTTTATGATAGCAACACAAAACGGACTAAGACAGGCCCCTCTCCACTAGCCTCCTGGGTGGCTCTACCTGGTGGCATCTCTGCCCAACTGCTGACATGGGGCTGGTTGGCATCGGCACACCTGCAGAGCTTTCTAGACCCTGAGGTATTAATAGATACCTAACATTTCTGTTTGCTGAGAATCACTCCACCATTCCTCCAGAGAGCAAAAACCCAAATGTCTTCAGGAACCTCACAGGTAGCTAAGTCCAGGAGGTGCAGTAGCCCAGAGGAGATGAGAAGAGAGGCTGAGGGGAGACTGGACTCCATCCAAGGCATTCATACTCAATTTTAGGACAACTCTGTGGTAAGTGACATGAGGGTGGATGAGGTGGATGGCCAGGCTGCTCATTTGTGATCTTCTTTCCTCCCCTAAGATTGGCTGTGGTGGCCATTTTTGCACCGAGGCATTGTCCTGACCTCAGCCGATTGGACCAGGGGCTGACACTGATCTCAGGCTAGACCGGTGATACTCATTAACTCGGGAGTTTGTATTTAGAACTGGTTGATTTTGACTGGTCTGGGTTGTTAGCTTGAGTGCTGTGGGGGAACCCAGAAGGTAAGCAGCTGCTGTCAGGGGGTACCTTCCACCAAAGTCTATGGGGCAGCTGAGAAAGCCAGACTAGAGAGAGGGCTGGAGGGGGGACCCTAGCCCTTGTGGGGGAAGCACCCACCTTGGTTCTGGGCTGTTCACCTGGGTGCTTGTCCCACCCTCTGGGAGGCCCAGTTTTGCTTTGTCTGGCCTCTCATGCCAGAGAGCCACAGGACAGCACTGTGCTAGTGAGCCTGGGCTCAAATCCCAGCTCCACCATTGGCTGTGAGGCCTCAAGCAAATCCTCTCACCTTGATAAGCCTCAGTTTCTTCATCTGTAAAGTGGCGAGAATAGCAATACTTCCCTCACAGGACTGCTGAGGACTAAATGAAGGATACGGTCTGCATAGCTGGCGCACAGCTAATATTATAACCAATTCTGCTGTGAAGCTCACTTGGCCGCATTTTTGTTTCTTGCACCCCAAAGTTTTCACTTAAAACTGTCCTCCAGCTGCCCTTGACAATGACCCTGTCTTTGTGGAGGACCCCAGGATAATGCTCCAGGTGCAGGGGGGTCTCCTTCCCTCCCCGACCAACACCAGGGATAGAACCCAGACAGACACAGAACACAGACAGAGATGCTGCACTTACTCCTGATGGCCCAGGTAGCCCTGGCAGGTGCCATTCCCCCACCCCACTCATTGTAGAAAGCAACAGGCGAGACAAACAGATGGAAGAGAAATGGCTTTTCCCTCTCTCCCTAAATAACAAGATGGGAAAAAAAGGGAAGGAGATGAAAAGATTGCCACCAGCTAAATCAAAGGGAATTGGCCATTTTCGATGATAAACTTTGCTTAAATGCCATCCCTACAGCCAGGTACAAAACCACCCTGGGGCCAGGACTGGTGAGGGGTCCGGCTTCCTATTGCCTGTCGATGTATCATTAATTTCTTTTTGTTTCCTGCTAAGGCGTACACCCGACTCAAGGTGAGAGAACGCAACTGGGCTGCGACTTCTCAGATTGATAGATTGTGTTTCTGTGCTGGGTCCGTTTCATGCTTGGTGACTCTGCAGCAAGGCAATTATCACTGTGGAATGCATAATGGCCTAATTAATAACTAATGTCAGCTTGGCCTCTGAGCCATGATTATACTTCTGCAAACCAACTTTTTTTTTCTTTTAAACATTCTGAGAGAAAAATATTATTGTAATTGACTGGTTAAACTGTCAAAGTGTCCCTAGCCTGTGGACACATGGTATAGTAGGAGACACACACAAAGACTAGAATAAGGAGAGGCGTTCTGCTGCCAACTGGCTGTGTGATCTTGGCCAACGTTTGAGTGTCTCTGTGCCTGAGTGTCTGCACCTGTAAATTGAGCCATTTATTTATTTATCTATTTAGAGACGGAATCTTGCTCTGTCACTCACACTGGAGTGCAGTGGTGTGATCTTGGCTTACTGCAACCTCTGCCTCCCAGGTTCAAGGGATTCTCAAGCCTCAGCCTCCCGAGTAGCTGAGACTACAGGCATGCACCACCATGCCCAACTCATTTTTGTATTTTTAGTAGAGACAGAGTTTTGCCATATTGGCCAGGCTGGTTGCAAACGCCTGACCTAAAGTGACCCACCCGCCTCGGTCTCCCAAAGTGCTGGGATTACAGGTGTGAGCCACCATGCCTGGCCAGAGCCACCTTTTGAGACCTGAGTGGAATTCATGTGTGTGTGTGTATGTGGATGTATTTATATATACATAAAAACTAGGTTATGTAGTTCTTGTTCACTGCTGTATCCCCAGAGCTCGGCACATAGTAGGCACTTAATAAATAATAGTTAAGGGCAAGGACTCTTGAGCCAGACTGCCTGGGTTCAAATCTTGTCTCTGCCACATGCCACCAGCTGTGTGACCTTGGGTAAGTTACCTAACCTCTCTGTGCCTCATTCATCTCATCTGTAAAATGTTGAGAATAACAACATCTCCCTTAAAGGGGAGTCATGGAGGATAATGAAGTGGTATCTGCAAAAGACCTAGAGTGTTGTCTGGAACATAGAAACGGCTACAGCAATGTCTGCCAACATTATTATGTGTCAACAGTCACTTAATAACTATTTACTCAGCACCTGTTGTGTGTCAGGCACCGTGAGGGACCCAGGAACATCACAGTCTACAAAATGCTGCCTCCTTCCTTTGGTTAAGTGGGAGGGACAAGTACTATGTGAGTAATTAGGCAAACAAACATATAATTACAGACTGTGCTAAGCGTTGTAAAAGGTCCTGGGAAGGCATGTACTGGGGAGGTCTGCTTGAATTTGGGTAAGTCATGAAGGCCTTCCCAAGGCAGTGACACTTGAACAAAGATCTGAAAGACACGTAGGTGTTAGGTCAGTGGTTCTTGGTGATTTGGTCCCCGAGGGGACATCTAGCAACGTCTGGAGACATTTTCGGTTGTCACAGCTGAGGAAGGTGCTCCTGGCATCTAGTGGGGAGTGGGGGATGCTGCTAACATCCTACAATGTACAGGGCACCCCCACCACAAGGAATCATCCAGTCCAAAGTGTCCATAGTGCCAGCACTCAGAACCCCTGCATTCAGGGGGAGAAACGGGGGCAGGGGAAGAGCAGAGGGAAGAACAGGTGCAAAGGCCCTGAGTTGAGGACAGCATTTTCAAAGAAGTGCAATGACGGGTGAGAAGAGGGAAGGGGCACAAGTGGGCAGCAAGGCAGGGGCTGGAGAGCAGATGGTCTTGGAGGTGGTGGCCGGAGGTCTGGGTTTCATTCTGGGTACCACTGGAAGTTCCCAGAGGTTTTAAACAGGGAGGCGTGCCATGTGATACCTGTTTCTAAACAGCTCACTTGGGCTGCTGGATAAATTCATCTGGGAAGCAAGGGGCTGGATTCTGTGATGCCTGAGTTATGTTCAGGAGAGACAGGGACGTGGACAGCCCACTGTTGCCCTTCGAGTCGGGCACGGTTGTGAAGGCAAGGTGGGGACGCCCATCATTCAGGAGGCCCAGGTGAGGACAGGGACCTAGGGGATCATGAAGTCTCACAGCCAAGGCCACATTTGAGTGGAGTCTTGAAGGACAATTGAGGATTTGCCAGGGGGCTTAGAGGAGGAAAAGCATCCTGGGAGAAGGGAACAGAATGTACAAAGGCTCAGAAGCCTGGCACAGCAGCTCGCTACCTGGGATAAATCGGGGTCAAGCTGTCAGGTGATGGGGGATGGATATAATAACCCTTCCTTATGTTGGATGCTGGAAAACTTTTGCCTCTTTTATTTTTATTTTATTATTGTTTACAGAGACAGGGTTTTGCTCTGTCACCCGGGCTGGAGTGCAATGGTGTAATTTCGGCTCACCGCAAACTTGGCCTCCCAGGCTCAAGCGATCCTCCTACCTCAGCCTCCCAAGTAGCTAGGACTACAGGCACATGTCACCACACCCAACTAATTTTTGTATTTTTTGTAGAGATGAGGTCTCATCATGTTGCCAAGGCTGGTCTCAAACTCCTGGACTCAAGTGATCTGCCTGCCTTGGCCTCCCAAAGTGCTGGATAACAGGCATGAGCCACTGCACCCAGCCGCTTTTGCCGCTTTTAGGAGGCAACATTTCTCAGACAATTATTTTTGAAATCCTCATGGAAAAGAATACTAAAACGCAGATTGATAACTCAAAGCTGCTAGTGCAGTGGCAGAGTTTGAACCCAGGTCTCCCCCTATTATATTGAACATAAAATTCCTATTGCCTCTCGATGTATTATTTATTTCTTTTTCTTGTCTTCTGGGCATTTCTCTTGAACCAGTGCCAATCAGGCCTCAGCCTGTGGTCCTGAAGCCTCCTGTAGACTCTCTCTCTCCCTGTCTCACCCCAGGGCACGGGGTTCAGAGCTGGACCTGACACTCCATGTGACCTGAGCATGATTATCCACCTTGCAAGCAGATCTGCTCTGTGTAACTGAGGCCCCTGCGCTGATCGTCCCATCTCCTACCTGCCTGGTCTTTACGCCTCAGTCACTCATCTCTACAACAGGCATAATAATAACCCCTATCCCAGGGGCTTGTGACAATGATTTCTAAAGTCAGTATGTGTAGCAAGCTTAGCAGAGAGCCTGATATATACTGAGACCCAGGAGATCTGGCTGCTGTGGCTACTGATGTTCCTAGGAACAGTATTCTTGGTCTGCAGCGTGTTTGAGGAATCTGTTGGTTCAGCACGAGCCCTTTCTTAGCCCAGTGTTTGGTCTCAATGGGAAAAATGATGGTGATAACAAGGATCATTTCTTGAGCATCTACTATGTGCTAGGCATAGTGTCATGGAATCCTCCAACAACAACCCTATCAGGGAAGGACAAATACTATCCCCCCTTTTCCAGATAGGAAAGATGAGGCTCAAGGAGGGGAGATGACTTGCCTAAGGTCATATGGCTGACGAGAGGCAGACCTGGGGCCGTGCCAGGTCCCACTGGCTCCTGGAGGATTCCCAGACTGAATCTCACAGGTTGGGTATCCAACAAAGGGGCTTGTTTCCCTGAAGCCAGGTCCTCTTCTGCTAATGGTGTCATGTCCCACTGGCCCCCAAAACCTGAGCCCCAGACCCTCTGTCTCCACCTGCCACATCAACCTGGATCCCCACTTCCCAACTCTTTCAAACCTGTCTCCACTTTGCTGCTCCTCTGTCGCTGTCCCAGGCCAGGTTATCATTAGTGCTCACCTCATTCTTTTTTTTTTTTGAGATGGAGTCTTACTCTGTTGCCTGGGCTAGAGTGCAGTGGCGCGATCTCAGCTCACTGCAATCTCTGCCTCCAGAGTTCAAGCAATTCTCCTGCCTCAGCCTCCTGAGTAGCTGGGATTACAGGCACATACCACCATGCCTGGCTAATTTTTGTATTTTTAGTACAGATGGGGTTTTACCATGTTGATCAGGCTGGTCTCGAACTCCCGACCTCATGATCCACCAGCCTCAGCCTCCCAAAGTGCTGGGATTACAGGCATGAGCCACTGTGCCTGGCCGCTCGTCTCATTCTTAAGTGCTCCAAAGCACAACCCAACTCTGAGTCAGCCCCCTCCTGCCTGTACACCTCCAGAGAGATCTTTCTGGAACTTGGTTTCCGGTCATCCTTCCTTATATATCCAAAAAGCTTCTGTGGTACCTCCCTCTGCCCACAGACAAACTGCAGACTTAACTTGGCATTCAGGACCCTGGTGTCCTGCCCATGTGTGTTTCCTGGCCTTGTCCTCTCCCCCAGCCCCGCCTCCCAGCACTGCTCACTAAATAGCCATCCGGGAATAATTATTCATTTTAAGCTTTCTTTGTGCTAGTATCATGCTGAACACTTGATATGCATTACCAGCTCACTCAACCTCTTGACAAACCTATGTACTAGGTACCGTTTTATTGATGAGAAAACTGAGGGTCAGAAAGAGAGGAAGTGGGCTGGGGACAGTGGCTCATGCCTGTAATTCCAGCACTTTGGGAGGCTGAGATGGGGGCATCACTTGAGGTCAGGAGTTCCAGACCAGCCTGGCCAAAATGGCCAAACCCCATCTTTACTAAAAATACAAAAATTAGCTGGGCGTGGTGGTGTGTGCCTGTAGTCCCAGCTACTCGGGAGGCTAAGGTGGGAGGACTGTTTGAGCCTGGGAGGCAGAGGTTGCAGTAAGCTGAGATCACGCCACTGCACTCTAGCCTGGGTGACAGAGGGAGACTCTGTCTCAGAAAAAAAAAAAAAAAAAAGAAAGGGGAAGTGGCTTGCCTCAGATCACCTCACCGGTGTTCAAACTGGTCTTGAACCCAGGTCTGCCTGATGCCAAGACCTGTGCTCACCACCACTCTTCATTCCCCATGTTCCATCCTGCCCAATCTTCCTAATCTCAGCTGGGACCTCACTTCCTCCAGAAGTCTTCTCTGATTGCCTGCCCAAAAAATAACCACTCTCATTGGTACACCTGGGACATTTGTTCCTACTGCACACTGGCTTTTTTTTAAGTGGACCTTGGGCATGGGATCCCAATGGTGGCTCAGCCTCCTTGCTGAACAGAGTTCATCTCTTTCTCTAGCCAGCTCAGCACAGGGAAGAATGCATAGTAGGAGCTTTATAACATCTGCCAAATTGTTAACAGTCCCTCCTTGCTCCTGCTTTGCTGCTCCCTGAATTTGGCAGGCCTCTTGGGTTTCATTCCCATTCACCTGTCCAAAATGTACCACTGTGTGCAAGGCTGTGTATTCAGGGCTCTGTCCTATTCCCTGACAGTGAGTGAGGTGCTCTATCTGTGAGGGAGTCCACAGGGCAGCAGACAGGGTTATGTGCTAACTTAATTCTGTTTTTTTACCCACTCTTGGGCATATAATGTTAGACTATAGCCTTGAAATTGGGTATGGTTTTGTAACAGAGTTCTGGACAAATGAATGTGGGCAGAAATGATGTGACCACTTCCAGTTTTGGTCCCTGAGAACCTCCTAGGAGGGCCATCATGTTTTCCTCTTTTCCCACCTACCAGATGATGGTAGACGCCTGGATCCCTGAATGACTGCATGGATCAGAGCCTCCCCCACCACAACTTCTATCAACCAGCGCTAGACTGTGATGTAACCTCATCTGTGTTTGAAGTTGTTACAACAGAAACGAGCCCATTTTGACTAATGCAGACAGGCCTGGGTTCAAATTCTAGCTCTTCAACTTCTCAGTATGTGATCTTGGTGTCTCAATCAGAGTATCAGTTTCCCCTTTGTAAAAGAAACACAATGTTCTCAGGATTCTCCAGAATATTCCACAACAGCCCAGATGTCGGATAACCAGCCCTGAGTATGACACTCAATCAGTGCTCAAGAAATAGGAACTCCCCTTGCTCCCCCGCCCCCTCCCATCTCCCTCACCCCATCTCTGTGTCTCAGTCCCTGGGTCTCAGGGCAGGACCTCTGCTCAGTTCTGGGCCGTAGGATTCAGTTGATTTTAATCTTCACTGGATTCTGCCAGTCTTTGGTTTTATGTATTTTAATTAAGTGTTATTATTTTGTGCTTGTGGTGAGAGTGATTTTATTATAGGGCAGGAGTTTATAAACCTCAGGAATGAAATAAATAAGAACCTTTGTCTGTTGCAGTGTGGACTCCAGGGCCAGGAGGGAGAATAAACAGAATTTAAGAGGCGGTCTGCAAGGGTAGGGAGGCAATGGTGGCCAGCGAGCCAGAGACACCTGGCTCAAGATGATGCTGTGCTTGGCAGAGCAGATATGGAGAGACTGGGGGCCAGGGCACAGGAGCAGACCTGGGAGCTCAGACCACCTCTCATTGGCTTTCAGGCCCTGCAATTCCCACTTGCCTCCTGCCTTGGGGCATTTGTACCTGCTATTCCTTTTACCTGGCATGCCGTTCCTCTCTTCCTGTGACTAGAATGTCCCTACTCTTGCTTCAATTCATACACAGGTCACTTCCTCCTGGAAGCCCTCCTTGACATCCCAGGATGCTCTCATAGCCCCAGGAAGGTCCCTGGTACAGTTGGAATTATATATTTACTTGATGTGCGAGTGTCTGAATTACAACTGTCTTCCCGCGAAAGGGTCAGCTCTGTGAGGGACTCGTCTTTGTCTTATTTGCTTCTGTGTCTATAGCAGTGCCTGGCAGTAGGTGCTCTGTAAATATTTGCTAAGGAAATGAATGAATGAATATGTGAATGAATAAGGTGATTAAATTTCTCCCATTCCCTCCACACCTAAAAGCAGGGGCTGGCAAACTTTCCCTGTAAGGGGTCAGATATATTCATCTTTGTGGGCTAGATAGGTTCTGAGCTATCAACAGCCGTACCTCAGTATCCATGGGGAATTGATTTCAGGACACCCTGAGGATACCAAAATCCTCCGATGCTCAAATCCTTTATACAAAATGGTGTATTGTTTGCATATAATCTACGCACATCCTCCTGTATACTTTTATTTATATTTTATTTTATTTTTTGAGACAAGGTTTTGTTCTGTTGCCCAGACTGGAGTACAGTGGTTGTCACAGCTCACTGTAGCTTCAAACTCCTGGGCTCAAGCAATCTTCTCACCTCAGCCTCCTGAGTTGCTGGGACTACAGGTGTGCACCACCACGCCCAGCTAATTTTTAAAAAATTTTTGTAGAGAAGGGGTATCACTATGTTGCCCATGCTGGTCTCAAGCAATCCTCCTGCCTCAGCCTCCCAAACTGCTGGGATTACAGGTGTGAACCATTGTGCCCAACCCTCCTGTATATATATATATATTTTTTTTTCAGATGGAGTCTCACTCTGTCACCAGGCTGGAGTGCAGTGGCGCGATCTCGGCTCACTGCAACCTCTGCCTCTGTATGACACTGATTGAGTGTCATACTCAGGGCTGGTTATCTGACATCTGGGCTGTTGTTGAATATTCTGGAGAATCCTGAGAATATTGTGTTCTTTTACAAAGGTTCAAGCAATTCTCCTGCCTCAGCCTCTCGAGTAGTTGAGACTACAGGGGCGCACCACCACACCCAGCTAATTTCTGTATTTTTAGTAGAGACAGGGTTTCACCATGTTGGCCAGGTTGGTCATGATCTCTTGACTTCATGATCTACCTGCCCCAGCCTCCCAAAGTGCTGGGATTACAGGCATGAGCCACTGCACCTGGCCCCTCCTGTATACTTTAAATCATCTCTAGATGACTTATGATTCCTAATAAAATGTAAATGTTATATAAATAGCTGTTATACTGTATTTTTAAAATTTATATTATTTTTAATTGTTGTACTATTATTTTTTAGTGGTTTAAAAAATATTGCTGATCTGAGGCTGGTTGAGTTCATGGAACCCATGGATACAAATGGACTGTGTTCTAATAAAACTTTATTTACAAAGATAGGCTTTAGCCCAATGGCCACAGTCTGCTGACTTCTGACCTAAAGCATGCAATTGCACCTCTGTTCTCACTTGTTACAAGGATTGTCTGTGGTAGTTTACTGGGGTCAGCCTGCAGTGGCTTACAAAGCAATTTTACATTTTCAGAAATTTTGCAATCTGGTTGTTAAACACAGCCACAAAATTAAATCATATAAACCTACAACTAAACAAATTTTGTTAAACATAAATGTAATACCACATGTGTGAACCTTGAGGACATTAAGCTCAGCCAAATAAGCCAGTCACGAAAGGACAAATACTGTATGGTGCCACTTATAGGAGGTCCCTGGAGTAGTCAAATGCATAGGGACAGAAGGTAGAATGGTGGGTGCCAGGGGCTGGGGGAGAGGAATGGGGGGAATTAGTATTCAATGGGTGGAAGTTTCAGTTTTGCAAGATAAAAAGAGTTCTGGAGATGGATGGTGGTGTTGGTTGCACAACAGGGCGAGTGTACTTAACTCATTGAACTGTACACTTAAAAATGGTTAAGACGGTAAATTTTATGTTACGTGTATTTTACCAGAATACAAAATTTGAAAAAAAGGCAATACATACTCAATGCTCATGACTTCCTAATTATTTGACTACATTCCACTGCTGTCTGTGCTCTGAGGTTTTTTCCATCTACTGTGTGTGTGCTGGAAACACTCTATAATGTTCTGCACATCTCTTCCCAGCCCCCTGTCAACGACATCATGTTTGCAGCTTGAAATTGGCCACGGTGGGAATATTTACACCACAGAAATGAGCAGATGCTACAGATCAGGGCTCCTCCCAGCCAGCTAGTTGTTCAGCATTTACCAGCACAGCCCTGGTTATTTCCACAGGTCTGTCTCTTCCGCTAGATGGTGAGTTTCAGGGCAGGGGCTCTCAAACATGTGAATCACCAGAATCTTTTACAATCCTGACACTCAAGCCTCATGCTAGACCAAGAACACCAGCCACTGTGAGCTGGGACCCAGGTCTTAGTATTTTTTAAAGCTTGCAGGGGATTCCACTGGGCAGCCAGGGTCGGAAGCCAGTGGGCTCTGAGGTCGAGTGTCTCAAACTTTCATGTGCCCATAATCACCAGGGGACCTTGTTAAACTGCAGATCTTGGTTTTAGAGGTCTGGGACATGGAGGTGGGGGATGGAGACTGCACTTCTAAGGTACTTCCAGGTGATGTGGATGCTGCTGGCCTGGTGACCACACTGAATAGTGAAAGATTCTAGAGAAAGACACCGCTGTAGGCAGCACACAGGCAGCCTCACACTCAGCTCTGGAACTCACCTGTGAGTCCCACTTTGGTTGGCAAATCTCTTTTTCCTTTCACCTCTTCCCTCTCCCCATTCCTCCCCTCCCCGTTCCTCCCCTCCCCCCCTCTCCTGCTTCCTTCCCTCCCTCCTTCTCTGTCTCTCTTTTTGAGATAGGGTCTTGCTCTGTCACCCAGGCTGAAGTACAGTGGCATGATAATGGCTCACTGTTGCAGCCTCGACCTGCTGGTCTCAAGCAATCCTCCCATCTCAGCCTTTGGAGTAGCTGGAAATTTTTTTTTTTTTTTTTTTGAGACAGGGTCTCACTTTGTCATCCAGGCTGGAGTGCAGTGGCACGATCTCAGTTCACTGCAGCCTCGACCTCCTGGGCTCATGCAGTCCTCCCACTTCAGGCCCCCTAGTACCTGGGACTACAGGCGTGCACCACCACGCTTCGCTAACTTTTTTGTAGAGATGGGGTTTCACTATATTACCCAGGCTGGTCTTGAACTCCTGAGCCCAAGCAATTGGCCTGCCTTGGCCTCTGAAAGTGTTAGGATTATAAGCGTGAGCCACTGTGCTTGGCCAAAAAAACTTTTTTTTTTGTAGAGACCAAGCCTGGTCTTGACCTCCTGAGCTCAAACAATCCTTCCACCTCAGCCTCCCAAAGTGCTGGGCTTACAGGTGTGAGCCACCATACCCAGCCAGGCAAATTTCTTTCAACTGGGTGATCACATTGGTTCTTCACCCATCCCCCCAGGATAAACAAGGTGGATGTTACAAGAACCCATTTTATGGAACAGGAGACAGGCTAGAGGGAAAGTGACCTGACCTGGGCCCATCTTTCTCCTGGCTGTGTGACCTAAGATGGGTTTCTCACCCTCTCTGGGCCTGATTCCTGCTGCTCAGGGCATCTGGGAGGTTTGACTGATATTGGATGTCTGAAGGCCTCCTGCAGGGCCCACCTCAGAGAGGACACCCACATCTAGAAAGATTCCTTCTCCTGTATCTAAATTTGGGGGTGTTGCTTCAGGAGCCCCATTCTGGCAATGACCCTAGGGGGTCACGCAGTCCAGCCCCTCTGCCTCTGAGCTAGGCCAAGAGTGGGGGCCTTTCTGGGTGCAACTGTACTTTGCCTTTGTGGAGGCAGCATTCGGCACCTCCACAATTAGTTAATACACCGGGGGATTATTTTAGAGTCATAATCATCTTAATTGTAATAATCATGGTAATCGCAGCCTCTGACACTGATCTAAGCTTTCTCTGCACCAGGCACTGTTCTACGCCTTTATATCTATTACCTCATCTGATCTTCACCTTCACCTATAAGATGAAGTGCCATTTGTACCTCTGTTCTCACTTGGTACAAAGATTGTCTATGGTGGTTTACTGGGGTCAGCCTGCAGTGGCTTGCAAGGACCATTTTACAGATGACGATGAGTCCCATTTTATAGATGAAGACATCAAGGCACAGAAAAAAAGAAAAGTGCCCCAGTCACAGATTACAGTTGACCCTTGAACAGCGTAAGTTTGAACTGTGCGGGTCTGCTGACACACAGAATTTTTTTTTCAACCAAATGCAATAAAAAACATAGTTTTTAAGGCCTGGCACAGTGGCTCACACCTGTAATCCTAGCACTTGGGGAGGCCGAGGCAAGTGGATCACCTGAGGTCAGGAGTTCGAGACCAGCCTGGTCAACATAGTGAAGCCCTGTCTCTACTAAAAATAAAAAAATTAACCAGGCATGGTGGCACGGGCCTGTAATCCCAGCTACTCAGGAGGCTGAGGCAGGAGAATCGCTTTAACCTGGGAGGTGGAGGTTGCAGTGAGCCGAGATTGCAACAATGCACTCCAACCTGGGAGACAGAGCGGGACTCTGTCTCAGGAAATTATACACACACACACACACCATAGTTTTCACTGGATGTGAAACCTGCATATATGCAGAGCCGGATTTTCCTATATGCAGGGGGACTTGCATGGTTTTGGGTATGGGGCAGGTCCTGGAACCAATCCCCTGCATATACTGAGGGATGACTATAATAAGTAGCAAAATGGGGAGTTGAACCCAGGCAGTCTGGTTCCAGAACCACACTCCTAACCACTGTGCTATACTATCTTTGAGGTAACTCCTGTGCATGATGTAAGTATGCATGTCCCTCACTGTACTTTTAGCTTAGAGACAGGAGCATGTGTCTTGTTCCCTGCCTATCCCCAGGGCACTGCACAGGGTCTGCATATAGTGGGGCTCCAGAAAGCATTTCTCAATGAAGGAATGGGTGGGCTGGTGACTCTCTCCCATCCCCATATCCTGACCTTGTGAAACTCAACCGTAACGTGATTGCCGCTGGCGCTGTGTAGGGGTGTGTGGGTCCATCTGTCTCTCCCATGAGGCCATGTGTGCTGTGAGGACAGGAAAGGTATCTGGGGCCACCTGTTGCCACATCCCTGAAGGCTGGCACTCACCCTTGTATACAACAGGTGCCAAATACATGCTGCGAAATAAAGGTCTCTGGAGGGAGGCAGGGGTGTGCTCTAGGGGAGCTGGTTGGAGGGGTGAGGGCACTTGGGGAGAAGAGGGCTGGCCCCTGGGGTGGGGGTGTGCCCTCTAGGGGAGCCTCCATCACTCCCTGCCCCCAGCTGGCTGCCCTGGCTGGTTTTCCAACAAGAAAATATAGGAGAAAGCCAGAGTGCGCAGGAGGGGGACACAAGGCTGCCCCAACCCCAGAAGCTATGAGGACTGCAGCCCAATGGGAAGGCGGGATGTACGCCTGGAACCTTAGGTTTTGGAGAGAACAGAGAGAGTGTCCAGAGCTCAGCTGGTAGCAACACTGAATCACCACGATCCTCTTTACTCTGCATCAAGTTCTTGATCTGCACCGAATCCTGCCAGCCTCCCTAGGAGGTAGGTCCCCATTTTACAGACAAGGAAACTGAGGTTCACTGAAGAACCTGGCAATGGGCAACGAGCTGCGATTTGAACCCAGCTCCAGGCGACTCTAGGCTTAAGTCACTTCTCCACTGCCACAGGCTCCAGATGAATGAGGAATTTGCACTCACCCTTTCACCCCCGGAATTCAGTGCCGCTCCTGACACCCAGTCGGTACTCAAATCCTTCCTGAACGCATGAGTAAATAGTAATGTTCACCACCTCAGCCCCTGCATCTAGCGCCACACCTGGCACCTAGTAGGTGCTCAACAAACATCTACTGACCAGATAAATGCAGGACTGCAAGAGTGGCTACAAGACCTATGCTGGTGTCGGTGGGGCTGTTGCGGTAGCTTCCATCTTGTGTCTCCCACCTCCCAGGAGGCAGACGTGAGCACTGAGAGACACTGGGCCGACTGAGCCATGAGATGGATGCACGCCCAGCGGCCTTATCTCCCCACCGACTGGCCCCGCACGGCCTTCCATAATGCAGTCCATTAAAAGCCTTGTAAATTTTCATACACGAAAGCCTACCATGGCGTCGGCACAGACTAATTGTTGTTAAATGTGCGGGAATGTTACTGCCACGCGGCTGGAGCGATCACTCTTCCCAGCCCGGCCCAGACGCCAGCCCATTCCTCTGCAGGCGGAAAGCTTACAACATTCGCACAAGGCCAAAAAGCAATTCGTGTCAAAAAGATCAATAATATAAAAATAAAGCGCGAGAATTCTAGTTAAAGGGAATGTCATATAAATATGTGGTTCACGTCCATGACTCCAAGATTAAAAAAATCAGTCAATATCGTTCTTTAGATGATGTTATTTCTAATGAGAAATACCCGGAACAACTGCAAATAACTACTTAACTGGGGGGAAAAAAGCATTAATAATTTACTTTATAAGGCATATAATACTGAATGAAAGAGGATTGCTGCTGGTTCTTAATTTGGTTGTAATATGGCGTGACAGGTTCAATAATGCTTTGGTGGGTTCTTAATATTAAATTCGGAAGGATGTTCATTCAGTTCATCGTTAAGTTTTACCCCAAGCTGGGCAGGGCAGACTTCCAGAGGGGCAAGACTTGGTTATGGGCAGCCAAGGAGCATGCACCATCAAAGGAATTCTGTTATCAAAGAGGAGGGAGGATGGGAAGGCCAGGTGTGATGGCTCACGCCTGTAATCCCAGCACTTTGGGAGGCCGAGGCAGGAGGATCACTTGAGGCTAGGAGCTCGAGACCAGCCTGGCCAACATGGTGAAACCAAGTCTCTACAAAAAATACAAAAATTAGCTGGGTGTGGTGGCGCACGCCTGTAGTCCCAGCTGCTTGGGAGACTGAGGCACCAGAATTGCTTGAACCCGGGAGGCGGAGGTTGCAGTGAGCTGAGATTGCGCTGCTGCACTCCGGCAGCGGAAAAAGGGTGGGTCATGTGTGTGCACATGTGCATGTCGGGGGCAGTAGAGAGGATGGGAGGCCTTCTTCTCATTATATCTGACGTGAGCTGCAAGCAACACTCTTGTTTATTGAGCACTTATTATGTACCAAGTTCTGGGCTGGATACACAGACTTGGGCTCGAATCACAGCTCTTTGTATGCGGCGGGCTTTCCTGGCAGATTCTGCCTGAAAGAACAGTTCAGCAAAGAAACATCTAAAAGGCATGGGCCTGGCTGAGTGATGAGCTCCTTTCTGGCCCTAACCACCTGCAGATCTCCAGCTGGGTCCCTAAATCTAGAATCACCATCCTCAGCTCCTTCTGCACCCCCAGACCCCTCAAGGGGCCCGTTTGGCCCTCCAAGCTGAGGTTTGCATCTTCTGCTCTCTGTTCAGCTGATGAACCGCTGTGTGAGCTCAGGCAAGTCACTTGACCTCTCTGAGCCCCAGTTTTACACCTATAAAAGGGGACAATACCAGCTGTGCCTTCCTGGCTGCGTTGCTGAGAGGAGGTGACACAACAGGCATCCCGCTAAGTGATGGATAAACCTTGCCAGCTGATGTCCCTGCCCGAGTTCCCACTCACCATCAGGGGCTGCGGGCTGAGCCTCAGTCACCTCACCTGAGCAATGGGTAGGAGCAGAAACTTCATCATGGGGCTCATGGGAGGGATAAACATGATGTGCTCAGTTTCAGCTCACCTGCTGGGAATGCCAACTCATGCTCACTGAACACTCACCATGTGGTGGGCTTTGTTCTTGGGGCTTTTCAAGTATCAACTCATTGAGGACTCCCATCACTCCTATGAAGTGGGTACTATTACCACCATTTAAAAACAGAGGACCAGCCCAGGCCACATGGTGAAACCCCATCTCTACAAAAACTACAAAAATTAGCTGGGTGTGGTGTTGTGCGCCTATAGTCCCAGCTACTCGGGAGGCTGAGGTGGGAGGATCACTTGAGCCTGGGAGGCGGAGGTTGCAGTGAGCTGCGAATGCACCAATGCACTCCAGCCTGGGAAACAGAGCAACTCTGTCTCAAAAATTAAAAAAAAGAAAAGTAAAAGCAGAGGAAAGTGAAACCCAGAGAGGTTATGTGCCTTGCCCAAGGTCACACAGCCAGGAAACAGACGATCTAAAATGTAAGCCTGAGCCAATTTGGCCCTAAAACCCACAGTTGCCCCTACTGCTCATCCCCCAGGGTGGCCTCACCGGCCAGCAAGGCCACTGCTCCCTGGCCTCCCCTGCTCCCTGCCCTCCCCTGCTGTCAGAACTGCACGCATCTAACATCTGTTGTGGTTCTAAGGGGGCCCTGTTTACAAAGGGATAGTCATACCAGTGCCAGGAGTGCCAGGGAAAAGGGTAGTTTAGGGAGTGAGAGAATTATGCCATCAAAGACAGCTGGAAGAGCAAATAACGTTAAAAGGCAAAAAAAAAAAAAAAAAAAAAGCCCTGTAATTAAATTTCAGCTCAAACGGAAGAGCAAGAGTTTGCAGGCAGACACGGAGCAGAAGGGGGGCACAGGAACCAAAGAAGGACGCAGCACATGGGGCTGGGTGGGGGCTCGGGGCCAGAGCAGGGAGGGATGTGCACATCTTGGGTGATCTCAACTGTGAGGAAACCCTCCACTCCCCTCTCAGGAAGCCTGGCTGCAAGCACAGGAAGTGACCCACTAGAAAGGTCTTCTCCAAGGTTAGGACTACCCTTCCCCACCGACGATTGTCTTGGTGGGAGAATCAGAAAAATCTCAGTGTCTCAGAAAGCATCTGGGCCTGGGGCAGGGAGGACGGGGGAATGGTCTGTCCTCTCGGTCATCTCTGAGAGACCAGGGCCCCCATGTTATCAGATTAGTGGCCAGAGGGATCCTGTTAAAATCTGAGTCAGAGCTGGTCCCTCCTCTGCTCTAAAGCCTCCCATGACTCCCACCTTATTCAGAGTTGCAGTCAAAGTCCTTACAGTAGTCTCAAGCCATTAGCTTTAGGCAGATGCATAAAGACAGATGATGCTAAGCACCAGTGAATGCCAGGGGCTCCAGGGTTGATGGAGGGTCAGGGTGGTCAGGGAGGGTTCCCTACTCCCCCAGGACCTGACATTTGAAAGGAGTTCATCCAGCAAAGAGATGGTGCAGGGAAGAGAATTTCAGGCAGAGGGCATGGCAAGCACTGACACCCTGAGGTGCGAATGAACCAGGTGTTCACAGTCAGATGGCAGTTGGGGCTGCAGTCATCTGACGGCTTGACTGGGTTGGATGTCCACCATGGCCCCTGACTCCAGTCTGGTACCTCAGCACTCCTGGCCTCTCCGCCATGTGCTGTCTTATCCCCCAGAACCTCTCCATGCAGGGTGGTCTCCAGGTAGTCACACTTCTCACATAAAGGATGGGTTTGGAGAGATGTGGTGGGGAGAGCCAGCAGGTAGGCTAAAGGCTATGCTGGATCATGGCACAGTGTCACCTCCACCATGTTCTACTGGTCAAAGTAGGCACAGGCCCAGATTCAAAGGATGGAGACACAGACTCCATCTCTTGGCAGGGGAATGCAGGGACACACGGCAGATGTGCATGGGATGGAGATACTGCCGTGGCTGTCATCGGGGCAGGGTGTCAATGTGAAGCGCAGCAAACAAATAGAACCTCTGGGATGGAACCGACGGCCTCCCTTGGGCTTCTGGACATTATTTCAGAATCACAGGGACTTGGCTCCTACAGACATTTTTTCTTTTTCTTTCTTTAAAGGATTCCATGCGGAATCCTAGGGACATCCTTGAGGGCAGGGATGGTGTCTCACCATCTTTGGATCTGCAACAGTCCTCACACAGAGCCTGGGACATAGAAGGTTCTCCACAAGGATCTGTTGAGCGGACCTGCACGCTGCCAATAGAAGGGTGGCCTTGTCTCCTTTGGGAAGTCCTTCTTCCGGGTACTGCAAAAATGCTTGCTCTCCCTCATACCAAAAGGAGGCGAGGTGACCACTGGGTTGTGACCATCACTGGGCCAGCATCTGGAACCCTGCCTAGTATGCAGCAGCTATTCAATAAATGCTTGTTGAGGTGACTAAATGATTACATGGGCTCAAGTGATGATCTAATGCATCTTTACCCCCTTCTCTAAGCTCCTAGAAGGTGATCATGCCACACGAATTCCCCCAGACCCTGAGTGATTAGAGGGAGAACGTTCTCAGTCCCACACAACCATGCACGCCCACCATGGTGACAACAAGTGACTCACTGGCCACTTGACACACAGAATGTCACTGAATCTCATGCAATCCTATGAGCTGACCCTATTTACAGATGAGGAAACAGTGGCTCAGAGACATAAAGTCACTCGCCAAGGTCACATAAGCTTGTCAGTGTGAGGGTGGGGCTCAGACCACAGGTGTCTAACCTCTCCTGGGTGTCAGAGGCCAGGTCAGCCCACTTGGTCTCCAAACTACTGTGTTTCAATCAGGCCCAGGTGAATGTCTCTGTTCCAATCCAACCCAAAAGGTTTTCCACCATACAGGCCACATCCCCTTTATGGTGGAAGAAAAAGGCGGCAGAGAAAAAGAAAATCTCCCAACAGTGGCCCTGTGGTCTTTCAAGCTGGGACAGTGCACACGCGCTTCAGAAAAGTTTCACCTCCGAGTTAGCATAACAAAACTTTTAATTTAGATGTTTTCATGTCTCCCTCCAAGTAAAAATAAGTTTAAAATAATGACTGTAATAAATGAAGGTAATTAATTGTAGTTTGTTCCTTTACTGTCTAGTCAGCTTAATTTTACCTTTTCAACTAATAATGAGAAAATAATTTTTGTGCTCGGAGGGTTAATGATATGTAACTGCGAGAACTGCTAATTGCATGTTGCAATCCATCCATCAACAACCCCATCTGTGCGACTTGATTATGTTTGCTAAATTATTGCTTTGAATTATCTTTCATAAAGCAACTTTTATAATTAGCGAGGCTTTCGTCTTGCTCTTTTCTCTGTACGCAAGGATATTCAAACTTTGGCCATTTCAAGCTGTCTCCATTAAGCCACCTTCTCTGGCTGTCTTTGTTTCCCTGAACAGGAGAAATCTAAACTGTCCTTTAAGCAATCAAGGCAGACAGAGAAGCTTCCTTGATTCACAGCAGGGCAAATTCACTTCCTCTCCACCCCCTCCCACCGGCACGCACACACACAAACACACACACACACAGAAAGAAAGAAAAGAGACCCACACATATATAATATAAAAAGATAAGAAGTATGCCCAGATTCTGAACACACCAGGGCTGGTGAAGCAAAATTCAGGAATAACATGGTATATTTTATTGAACATGGTATATTTCATGGTACTTACCATGAAACTGAACATGGTATATTTCAAGGAAAGGCCTGCACTGGGAAGAAGGAATGACGGGCATGATATTCTGCCCTGGCGTTTTATGGGCTAGTTTATGTGACTTGGGATGGTATTTGCTCCAGGGAATATTTCCAGGAGGTGATTAATACCCACTTGGGAATCGCAGTGCCAGCCCAGAGCCTGGTGGATTGCAAGAGGACAGCGGCATAAAGGATGAGGCCTCATTAAAAAAATTAAAATGAAAATCAAATTTGGATTATAAATGGCCTGTGCATGTGCAGCTTTTTCTGGACGAAGAAGATGCTTTTTATTAACACCTTCCTTTGGCAGCGTCTCTCCCCTGAGGCACAAGGAGGACACAGAGGCCACAATGGCTTAGTCAATAGATCACGAGAAAAGCAGGGGTTTCGGGAATAAAATTCCAGACAAATGTAGTCTTCTTGGTACATTAAAGGGACGATGGAAAGCCCTCTTAAGAAAATTAACAAAGTTCTTTAAGGTCTCCAGCTATTAAAGCAGCATCTATTCAATATGCCACATGGGTTTTGAAAATGAGAATTCTGCTTTGTCTTTCCTTTTGGCCTAAGACTTTCTCTGTCCTAGTATTTACTGAGCACCAACGGTGTGCCAGACCCTGGGACTGCCTCCATGCTGCTGAAGTGTTTGAATCCTTTTTCCTTTTTTTTTTTTTTTTTTTTTTTTAAGAGACCAGGTCTCGCTCTGTTGCCCATACTAGAAAGAAATGGTATAATCATAGCTCACTACAGCCTTGAACTCCTGGGCTCAAGTGATCCTCCCACCTCAGCCTCCTGAGTAGCTGGGACTACAGGCACAAGCCACCATGCCCAGCTCATTTAAATTTTTTTTTTTTTTTTTTTTTTTTTTTTTTTTTTTTTGCAGAGATGAGGTCTCATTATATTGCCCAGGCTGGTCTCAAACTCCTGGCCCCAAGTGATCCTCCTACCTTAGCCTCCCAAAGTGCTGAGATTACAGGCATGAGTGACTGCACCTGGCTTCTGAATCCTTATTGTTAGCCTTATTTGCCAGAGGAGGAAAGCTGAAGTTCAGAGAGGTTAAGGAATTTCCCCAAGGCCACACAGCTGGTTTAGGAGCAGAGTTGAGGTTTTGACCAGGCCTGAGTCAGATTTGCATGTATTTTCTACCATGCTTCAGTCAGGTCTTCTCCCGAACATCACCCAAACCTAGGATTTCTCCTATTGAAAAGATAACATAAGTCATACCCACTTCCTACAGGAAAAAAAACCCTGAAACCCATCTTTGAGATAAAAAGCCTTCAACACCTAGTTAGGAAAGTGGCAGATGGCAGCTCAGCCATACTAGAGACCCAGTAAACCTGTACTGGAGGTCACTGCTCATAGGAATAAAATATCCAAGACTTCTCATATGCAAGGCAGTATTTTAAGCACTTCATCAGTGTTAACTTTGTTCTTCCTCAATCTCACCCTGTGAAATATGCATAATTTTTTTTTTTTTTTGAGACAGAGTCTTGCTCTGTCGTCCAGGCTGGAATGCAGTGGCGTGATCTTGGCTCACTGCAACCTCCGCCTCCTGGGTTCAAGTGATTCTCCTGCCTCAGACTCCTGAGTAATTGGAATTACAGGTGCCCACTACCACACCTGGCTAATTTTTGTATTTTTAATAGAGTTGGGGTTTCACTATGTTGGCCAGGCTGGTCTCGAACTCCTGACCTGAAGTGATCCACCCTCCTCGGCCTCCCAAAGTGCTGGGATTACAGGGGTGAGCCACTGCCGGGCCTCAAATATGTATAATTATTATTCCATTTTACAGATGAGGAAATGGAGGCACAGAGAGGTTAAGTAGCTCACCTCAGATCACACAGCTAGTAAGTGGGAGAGGTGGGATTCCAACCCAGGCTGGCTCCAGCATCTGTACTCTTCACCCGCTAACAGCTCTTCGTGTGTCAGACATTACATTAAACCCTTTCCCTGCATTAGATCTCAGTTAATCCTCAAAACAACATGAAAAGACTTGTCAGTGTCTTTATACTCCCATTTAACAGATAGGGAAAACTGAGGCTCTAAGAGGCCAAGGGATGCTCTGTTCACACCAACTCAAGCAAGGAAACAGCTGAGAAAGTGATGCTCTCTACAAACAGCTGAATGCCTGTCTTTGGATTGGGCAGAGGGATCAGCTGCTATAGGGAGCTTGTGTGCTGAGCAGCTCTCCTGGGACTAGGAGTTGGTAGATGGGAACCTCTATTTTTTTTTTTTTTTGTAACACAAAGTCATGACATTATATAGGAACACAAAGTTCCTAACATTATTGGTCTGTCTAGTTTTTTTCTTCCAAGCCCAGGCACCTTGCAACCAAATGAACCAATACTGGATGGCCCTATAAATAAATAAGCACATCAGTCAACTAGGTAATAAAATGAAAGGATGAAAAATATGGAAATCAGCGACATTTGTGTAAATCCAGTTATTGTTTACTTTAATATTGCCTTATGTGCTTATGTGGTTCCAAAGAGACAGATTTAAAGTAATGTGGCGCTTGGTGGATGACAGACTTAAAATGCATCCCCTCTGGTGAGATCCGAGTACGGCCAATCCTTCTGGGGTCCTGCCTGAGTCCAGGGAAGCCTGAGAAGAGCCCCCTCAAGATGGAACGCTTTAGAAATCCCTGGACCCACATGATTCCAGTCTTTTCTTGGCCTGCCTCCTGTGCCAGCCAGACAAGTGGACATTATCAGACTCTTGGTTACGAAGTCAAGCAAAGAGGAGAAATGGGCGGGGTGGGGCGGGGGTTCACCCTGATCACAGGGCTTCCAAAAAGCAAGAGAAATTATTTACTGAGGACAGCAAAGGAACTAGGGCTCAGCGGGTCGGCAGGAAAGAATGTGGACAATGTCACTTTTATACTCAAAGAGTGGGCTGGTGCAAAGAATTTCTGGTTGGGCTGGTAACTGTGTGGACTTATCTGCAAGGCTGCCTCAGAGAATCAAAGGACAGCAGAATGCCAAGAGAGGGCAAAGGTCATCTAGTACCAACCTCTGATTTTAAAAATAGGAAACCAAGGCTGGAAGGTGAGGTAGGTTTGTTCAAGGTCATAGATCTTTCTTAAATTTTATTTTTTTATTGTTTTAGAGACAGGGTCTCGCTCTGTCACCCAGGTTGGTGTGCAGTGGTGCGATCATGAATCACTGCAGCCTCAACTTGCCGGGTTTAAGCAGCCCTCCCACCTTAGCCTCCGGAGTAGCTGGGACCACAGGCACGTGCCACCATGACTAGCTAATTTTTAAATTTTTTTGTAGAGATGGGGGTCTTGCTATGCTGCCTAGGCTGGTCTTGAACTTCTGGCCTCAAGTGATCCTCCCACTTCAGCCTCCCAAAGCACTGGGATTACAGGTGTGAGCCACTGTGTACGCCCCAAGGTCACAGATCTCACATGTAGCAGAGCCATTGTAAGGCTGGGCAAAGTCGAGGGAGAGGGAGATTTCTTGGGATCAGACTTGAATTCTGTCAAAATGAACAGAGAACCAATTCTCATTACTATACCATTCGGATGGGAGACCAGAGGGAAGGGCACAGAGTTTGCAATGGGGACAGGGAAGCTTCTCCAAAGCTTCTGGAGGCTGCTGGCCCCCCTGGGCAACTCTAGGTGGGATAGGAGGGGGAGCCATTGGGGGCACTTTTCTGACATGCTGTGGGCCCTGGGTCTTACCTCGGCTTGGAAGCTTTTTAATACAGGAGCCACCATCTCTCTGATTTCCTGAAAAAGAGATCAGCAAAGAGTTCACTACAGTGCCAGGTGGGACGCCCCCGTGGCCCCTGCTTGTAGCTCGCTGCTGTCCCTGGCTCAGCATTTCCCAAGCATGTCCCGTGGGGCCTGAACTCCATTGGATTTCACAAGGGACACACGCAAACAGGGGTACCAAGCCACACCAGACTGGGAAACGTCAAGTCCAAGGGGTTTCTTTCCTGCAGGACTTTCTGGAGTCTTTCATATAATGCATGTTGGGAATTTCCAGAAGACAAAGGAAGTGGCGTTTCTCAAATGAATGTGATCATAGAATGGTCTTTTATGCGAAATATCTTGTGAGATAGGTGGTCCATCCCAGGTCACACTTTGGAGTGGGGTGGGGGCTGGAGAGGTAACCCCAATTCTCCATGCTCAGCACTACATGAAAGCCCTTCCTTAAAAACCTTCTGCCCTTCAAGGTGTCGCCCGGGGCTGCCTCTTTCAGGTTGCAAGGTCTCCGTGACCCTACCCTGTAGCCACCTCTCCAGCAAAGACTGCCTTTTGCATTTTAGCAATGCCACTTGTGTAACTGACTCTCCTTCCTCACCAGAACGTGCAGTTTCTGCAGTCTAGGCTGGGTTTATACCCCATTCGAGCTCTGCAAATGTCTGAGGAACTCTATGGACGTGGGCTGTCTTCAGAGGAGGTTTGTCACAGCCACCCTGAGCCTCCTATTTCCAGACTCTAATTTCCTGGCTTTCATAAGTGACCTGAGGTTCCCAGCAACTTGGGCTAGCCTGGCAAACTCCTATGTATTCTTCTCCCCGGCACGTAAGAGGGAAACCTTAAGAACCATGTGTCCCGAGACTCCAACCCTAATCCTCCAGTTTCCTGTGAGATCTGCTGGTGTGACTCCCCCATCACAATCAGCCACAATTACCAGTAATCCCCATGGGAGGCACTGAGGGACTAGATAGGGTGGGGAGGGGTTGCCCCAGACAGAGCAGAAAAGGAAGAGATGGGTTGAAGACTTATGGGCAGGTAAAGAATAAACCCCTTCATTATGCAAATAACACTGTGTTGCTCCTGCCCCTGATTCTAGGTCCCCAGGGCTTTCCTGAGCCACTGATTGATAGACTGATGTATGTTGGGGACCTTCAGGGGAGACACAGTCCTAGTAGACTTGACCATAAGGGGCCATGGGTGCGAGGCTGAGCCATGGATAAGGAAACTTCTGAGAATCTGGGTCACAGGTGGTGAACTCAAATGCCTACCAGGCTAGGCAGGAAGCAGCTACGAGGGAGGCTGGGACAATGCAACCCCCACCGATGGGGTGGCGTGCTCTGCTCTAGCTTATGACGGCAGCATGAGCACGGAACCTCTGGGTTGCACAATCTACCAAATATTCTCAAAAGGCACCGGAAATCCAGTTTTTAGGTGAAATCATCTGAGATGCTAAATATTGGCAACCCACCGTAAAGTTCGAAAGACTTTACAGACTAAATAAAAATGTGATGGCGGGAGACCTCTGGTCCATGTTCAGGAAACATTAGTTCTGGATGGGACCTCTCAGAAACCATCTCTCAGTTCCTTGAGTTTACAGAAGGGGAAACTGAGGTCCCAAGAGGGGCTAGCCTGCTCAAGGTCACACAGCAAGTGAATGGCGCAGCTAGAATTTGAGCCCAGGTCACTGGACTCCCCAAACAGGCCCTTTTCAAAACCCCACACTCAAGTATCTGAGCATTCTGGGAGGGATGGGTTTGGCGGGACTTCGTGCTAATGCTGCCCATTTCTAGAAGCATGCCGCCTCATCTGCTTCACGGCTGGGGGACGCCGAGCACAGGCGCGAGCAGGAGGTGAGCTGGGCACCAGCCAGAGGAGCTCTTAAATAAAGCCTCGGCGTGACTTTCTCCATCAGGAGAGACTGGCTCCAAAAAGGAGAATTTTCAGAGGCACGACTATAATAGGAATGGAAACTTATTCCTCTTAATTACATAATTGCATAATTATGCAGTATTAAAATTATGTAAGCTGAACTCAGAGGCTTAAAACATGGCCTGGATTTCCCTCATCACCTGGGGGCTCCCACATGGCCTCAGAAGAAAGTCAGTTGGGCTAGAAGGAAGATGAGATAGAGGGTCTAAGCTGACCAGGGAGAGGGCATGTGCAGCTGTGAAGATGTGGGGCCGATTCAGCTCTGATTCCTGGAGTCAAAGGAGAGTCAAAGGTAACCTCATTCTGGGGAGTTTCCAGACCAAGCTGAGCTCTGTTCTAAAAGGCGAAGGAAGGGTTCTCGGCATCACTGATGCCTTCTTGGCTCTTGGAGTCAAACCAAAGGCCTGGCTTGGCTTTTCTGAAGCCACAACATGGGAGAGGCTTTTAGACCTGAGATTCATGCCCCTTCTCCATGTAGACACTCTCTTCCTTCCAGACTTGCTCCATGGACAAATTCTAGCTAGATCCTAGTCCCTTCTCTTGCCTTGAAGAACCAAAGACATTTATGACTTGTGTGAGATGGATTTTGCAGCTAAGAGCCTGAGGTGGACCTGAGGCTTCTCCCCTCTGTGCTCATATGACCTGATCCCTGGCTGGGTCTGCCTATTCCCTGTCTTCCCATGTTCCCCTCCCTGACCAGCGAGATGGCAACAGGACCCCCCACCAATCTCGGTATCAGACTGGCAGAGTGTAACTGCTGGAATCAGGGTCTCCCATCTGAATGCTAAACTCTGCCCCACCTTCCTCCAGCACACCTGAGCAGGTAAGGACAGATGTTAACCTTCTGCCGACCAGAATGAAACACAGTTGGCTTTGGGGAGATCTGGCCGCAGAGATCTCTGATGTCTGTTCCCTGTCACAGCCCTGATGTGCCACATCCTTTTTATATAGAGTCAGAGGGCTTTATTTTCTCTATTTATGTTTATTCTCATCATTTGTTTTGTAATTTGAGAAGCAATAGGGGGGCCTGCGAGAGGATGGAAAAGAATTCACACATCCGGGCCGGTAAATAACAGAAACTTGTCTGTTCTAGTCTGTTCCTTGGGGGGCCCTTACATTGCTGGGGGCTGGTCATTCTCTGTCCCCCACCAAGCTCCCTGTAATGACTGCTAGAAAAGGCATAGCTGGTTGCTGGGACTGCAAGGGAGGCGGTGAAGGGGAAGAATGAGGTGAACGTAAAGGGGGTGAGAGGCCGAGTTTCAGAGACGATGAGTGCCGGCAGGCCCCGAGAGGGTGTTAGAGAGTCGACGGCTGTCTTCTTCCAGACGCCAACGGGAAAGCAAAATAAAATCAAGAACTCTAAGGCACATTGTCTTTGCCAGCAAGGCCAGGCATCTGACTTGGATATGAATGTTGGGGGAAAATGGATGTTTCACAGCGCCCTCAAAAAACAATGACGTTGATGGAGAAACGCCCCGCCCTCCCTTCAGTAGGCACCGCTGAGCACCACTAGGCCAAGAAACCCCGAAAGGTTAGGGGCTGTCATTTTTCTTTGTGGCTAATTAGCTTCTTTTCTTGTTAGTCACTTGCATCTACAGTTTTCAAAATATAGTTTGAATGGAGAGAAATCTGCATTCCTACTGAGTTAATTCTATAACGGCAAATATACCATACCTCAGGTACATTTTTCTTAAATTCCCGGCGGAGTTCAATTAAATGTTTATGAGAATGTTCACTCTCCTCCTGCCGTGCAGACAGCTCAGAAGCGACGGAATTAAGCTCCTTCTGGAACAATAAAAAAAAAAAAAAAAGAGAGAGAGAGAAAAGAAAAAGATTTTTCTTCTTTTTTTCCTTTTTAACCACTGTACAAAACAGCATTCTGAACAAGTTTTCTTAACTTACAAAGCTGAGAAAAGACAGGATATTGACTCCTGGCACAAATAAATAATTTACAAAACTGGGATGCAACTGAAAAAAAATCCAGGACAGCTTTTTTTGCTCGTCGGAAGTCAGGCCAGATCAATAATCTTCTATAAAGTTGGGTGGAGTTGGTTGTTTTTTTTTTCCATCTCTTCCCCCCACCCCCTGCCCCACCTCTTAAATTTCCAAAGGAGTGATGGCATAAGCTTGTCAGTAACTGTAGAAAACATCTCCAGACCATGTCAAAATAGTAAAGTGCGGCATATTGTATGGGCATATTATAGTGGAAGAAAGTGCTGTCGACAGCTTTCATATATCAGAGGTGGGAACGGCTCCAACTATGACTTACTTACACTTAAAGGTTCATAAATACGCCTTTTAAGATATAGATGGCTTTTTAATTTCAGTAGATTTTGGAAAAATGAAGGTGCCAATAAGAAGTAAGCTGACCTTTTGTGTATCTCGCAGTAAATCATTTAAGGTTCACTTCAAGTCTAAGAAATATTTCATTGAAGACTCCTGGATTCAGAAGAAATGGATTGGAAGGTGCTTTGCTGGCTTATATGCAAGGAAGGTATCAGACCAGGTTTTTATAGGATGTACCAGCGAGGGAAAAAGAGAGAGAGATGGAAGGGGGGATGCTTCGGCTCACACACATCACAGACAATGTCTGCTGGTCGTGCATGTATATTTGATCACCCCTCTTGAAGCTTTCTTCACTTTAATGGTGGCAGTTTCACAAGGGGAGTACAATTCACCATGAGTTGTCATGGATTTCATTTGCATAATTCAAGAAATGCTCTGTTTATGTGGTCGGCTGCTTCCTTGCACCATCCCGAGATGGGCTTTTTTTCTGGACCATAACTCGAGGAGCATTTCTGTATATATCATCCGATTATATTTGCAGCAATCAAGCCCCATAATTTCCTAAATCCGGTGATGCAATAAATTTCTGCAATCAGATTTATTAAAAACACACACGCAGATGCGGGAGTGTATTTCTAGGGTGAACTCTTTAATCTAACATATGTATGATGAGGCCCGGCACCGTGTTGAAAGACCCCATTTGTCATCACTAATACACATTCCTCTTGCACACACAATGAAACACTTTTGCCATTAGATAATGAAATAAAAGTACTATTAACCCACTGCAAATTCTTTTCCCTCTAAGAGACGAAATGCATGGTAATTGTCTTATATCATGTCTGAGAGTCAGTAAATCTGCTCAATAGCAGCTCACCAGAGCACCATAAACCTGGCACCCCAAGCTGGGATGAGTGTCCCTGACCTATGGATTTCTTTGTAGAAATCCAAGAAGGAACTTCTATTTCTGGAGAAATGTCTAACTTCTTTAGAAAATTATGAGACTAGAAGGGAGAAGGTAGAGGCACCAAAGTAGCTTTGAAATAGAGGCAAGGGCCAGGTGCAGTGGCTCATGCCTGTAATCTCAGCACTTTGGGAGGCCAAGAGTTTGAGACCAGCCTGGGCAACATAGTGAGGCCTCCTCTCTACAAAAAATAGAACAATTACCTATAGTCCAAGCTACTTGGGAGGCTGAGGTGGGAGGACTGCTTGAGCTCAGGAGGTCAAGGCTGCAGTGAGCTGTGATGGTGCCACTGCATTCCAGCCTGGGTGACAGAGAGAGACCCTGTCTCTATTTTGGTGGGGGAGCGGAAACAGGTGCTCTCCAAGGTGCTGAAACCAATTCTTGCCGAAGCACAGGGTACTCCCACTTGAAAGTACATGGGGGCTTCCAGTTTAAAAGCCCGGTTTTTATCAGGATTAAGCCAGGTGAGGAACAAGGTGTTATGAGCAAAAAGGGGGAATTCTGGTTCATCATCACTTAAAACTAATCACAGTTTCTAATACAGAAACTACAACTGACCACAACCGAAATATCCAGTGACAGGAGAGATCAGTGTTTGCAGCAATAGACAAAGGTAGACTGGCGCGGCCAGGTGGACAGAATCTCACTTGGCAGGAGAGAAAAAAACTGGAGGGCCAGGGTCAATTTGAGTTGCAGCAGCGTACTCCCAGCTCTTCTTAGTTTTTCTCATCTCTCTTGAAGACAAAGATGTGATTTTCACATTGCTACAGGACAAACAGAACTGGGACATGGGTTTACAGCTCTCTATCTTGGATTATTGTGTGTCTGACACTTTTTTTTTTTTTTTTGAGACGGAGTCTCACTCTGTCGCCCAGGCTGGGGTGCAGTGGCGCCATCTCAGCTCACTGCAAGCTCCGCCTCCCAGGTTCACGGCATTCTCCTGCCTCCCAGCCTCCCGAGTAGCTGTGACTACAAGCACCCACCACCAAGCCTGGCTAAGTTTTTGTATTTTTAGTAGAGACAGGGTTTCACCGTGTTAGCCAGGATAGTCTCGATCTCCTGACCTCATGATCCACCCACCTCGGCCTCCCAAAATTCTGGGATTACAGGCGTGAGCCACCACACCCGGCCGTGTCTGACACTATGTTCTTATTGCAGGGACACTGGTGCCTTCCCACAATGCAGCAACCAATATACCTGGTGGGGGTGAACTTTGCCTCTCATTAAAAACATCCAGCCCAGGTTCTGAAAGGAAATTGCAGAGCAGGATAAGTCCAACCACCTGATGTGTCCTCACAGACAATTATGCCTGACTCCCTCCACCTGCACCTCCCAGGCTGCTGGTGGGTGCAAATCTGACAGGCAGGATGTCTGCTGTGTCCACACTGCAGAGAGAACAGAGCCAGGGAAGGCAGGGGGATATCACCAGTCCCCTCACCCTGACCCCACTGCAAGCCCAGCCCTTGGTGTCTTTCCTCGAGCAGACGAAGTCACTGACATCCACGTTCTTCTCAATTTTGCCTAAATCTATGCTTGTCCTTCAACCCTGAATTCTTGCCACAGTTCACTGGTAAACACACTAACACCAATAATAATAATAGTAAATACTCATAACTACCATTTATGGAAAGCTTACATGTACCAGGCACTATGCTAAGCTCCTAACATACATCATCTCATGGAACAAACACATTAATGTGTCTTGTCTGTATGGTGATTCAAACAGGGGCTTGGAAATATACTACAGTCAATTCTAATAACTGAGGTGTGGATTATCTCCTTGGTGGATTATAAAGGCATATTTTTTAATGCCCTTCTCTTCAGCGGGCTTCTGCTCTGCGTCTCCATCAGCTGGGGGGTGTTCAGGGCATTTGTTTTAAATGATATGGATGTGTAAAGCTTCAAGTGTTCAATAAATGTTGTCTTTTTTTTTTTTTGAGACAGGGTCTCACTCTTGTCACCTAGGCTGGAGTGCAGTAGTGCAGTCACAGCTCACTGCAGCCTCGACCTCCCAGGCTCAGGCGATCCTTCCACCTCAGCCTCCCTAGTAGCTGTGACTATAGGCATGTGCCATCATGCCTAGCTAATTTTTGCATTTTTTTGGGGTAGAGACAGGGTTTCACCATGTTGCCAGGCTGGTCTCAAACTCCTAGACTCAAGCAATCCACCTGCTGTGGCCTCCCAAAGTGTTGGGATTACAGGTGTGAGCCACTGTGCCTGGCCTTGGCTGATATTAATCTTATGTTTAGATAAACTGACAGCTAAGAAAACACCCCACCAGATCAATGATTCCAAGAATTTTGGATTTCACAGCTCAGTAAAAATTCTGTTTTAAAATGAAAGGAAGACCGGTAGAGTATTGCCAAATGTTACTGTATCAAGCAAAGACATTAAAAACCACTCCCTCCCACCCTAAAAGAAAGGATATTTGAATATCAGCAAAGCAAGAGGGCCAATGACAGCATCGGCACGGGTCTTTCATAATACACACAGCTAAAATTAAAAAGCTCATGGCACTATATCTATTTTGAAGGAATGGAAAAAAATTCTGTCACAAACATAAACCAGCACTGGTCTAAAACTGAGTTTTAGAAAGCATGTCCAAACTACCACACACACAGCTCTGGTAATCAAAAAGAAATCAGGATCTTCTCCTACCCAGCCCCTGCTGGCCCCACCAGCCCCCCAGCCCTGGGGGAGCCATGATTAACACAGCCCCAGACTTTGGGCCAGGCCCAGGCAGGGAGGAGACTCATCTGATTAACTGGCCATCAGCAGCAGACAGACAGCCCGGAGCCCGGCGCAGACCATTCAAATAATGATCATCATAAACAGCCCATTTGCAACTAAAAAGAAATAATTTTAATGAGCCTGAAGCAGATGATAGATGCAGCTGAGGCTCGGGCCAATGTGCAGAGAGAAAGGAGGCCGGGGCTGAGCTGCACCCGGGACCGGGTGCTGCAGGAGAAGCCGGGGGCTTGGAGGAAGGGGCTCTTCTGATGGGATCTGCAGTACCCCCTGGAAGTGCCCACTGCCTAGTGAGAGCCCCTGTCTCTGAGAGGGTTTGCCATTGGTGTGCTGAACAGTCTTGGGACTTAGTCCTCCAAGGCACTCAGAACATATGAGCTAGAAGGAATCCTCAAGGTCGCTCAGGTCACTGCTGTCCAAACTTTGACCACTCATGTCCCTCTGTGTGAATTTTGTCATATTGATATAGCATCTAAAATATGATTAATTAATATTTCTCTTCAAAGGGACTCCTATGGTTCTCTTTTTGAGATATGGATCACTTTAAGTTCCATAGTTCAATGTTAAGCTTAGTGAATTACAAAATTTTTTTTTAGATAGGGTCTTGCTCTGTCACCCAGGCTGGACTGCAATGGCATGATCACAGCTCACCGCAGCCTTCACTTCCCAGGCTCAGGTGACCCTCCCACAGCCTCCTGGGTAGCTGGGACTACAGGCATGTGCTACCACGCCAGGCTAGTTTTTATTTTTTGTAGAGATGGGGGTCTCGCCATGTTGCCCAGGTTGGTCTCGAACTCCTAGGCTCAAGTGAAAGCTTAGTGAATGGTTTACACCTGAGTAAGCACTACCCAGTTCAAGATGTAGAACGTTCACGTTCCTAGTGCCTGTGAAAACTCCCTAGAGTACTCTCTCCTTGTCAGTACCCCCTAAAAGTAACGATGATTTGGACCCTGGCATCACAGACACATTTTTCCTATTCCTGACTTTTACCTAATGACTCCTTCCCTTTTTTTAAACCTAAATAAGTGTATTTAAAAAGGACACTTTCTTGTCACTAGAGAATCATGTACCATAAACAGATGGTAGCCATTAAAACAAAAGTATAACCAAAAACAAATCATTGCTGCCTGTGTTTGTTATAAAAGGTTAGCAAGTGCTGGAGGGGTGTTAATGCAGTCCCCTACAGAGACTTTCTGCTTGTTGGAATGAAGAAGGGTGGAAGAGATAAGGCAGAACTGTTCCTCAGAACCCAAGTCAATCCCTTCTAACACTGGCTCTACTGAATGCTTACAATTTCATGTCCCGTCAGTGGGTATGTGTCCCACACTTCAGTAAATATGAATCATATCTGAGTCTCCCATTTAAAGATGAGAAAACGGAGGCACAGATACTTTTGGTTACCCACCCACATCACACATAGTTAAGAGGTTGGATTTTCTCAGAGGGGAGGGTGGGTCTTGGCTAGGGAAGGATCCTATGGTTGGTTATCTATGGGGAAGCAAGTCTAGCATTCTCAATTCGTCTGGGTTTCCCCAACCAGGAGGGACTGGGAATTTTACAAGAACACTTAGTTTTTAAAGTAATTTCACACCTGATCCCAAAGTGTCAGCTATATGAAGAGCCTTGGGCTAGAATCTGTGTTCTTATGAGGGGAACACATGTTAAGACACAACCTGAGATCCCGCCTATCTGTGCCCACAATCTTCTCAGCTCCAAGGACACCTCACACTCAGACATATCCCCCTAAGGCCACCTCCGAGAAGAAACCTAAAAAGTGATTGTTGGGAGCTGGGTTTAAGGAATTGAGGACCTCAGTTGTTCCTAGGCTTTAAAGAGATTCCATGAAGACAAACAATCTCTTTCTCAGTATGTCCCTCCTGGTTTAAAACCTGGCCTAGGACAATCTCCTCACTCCTGGGTGTCCCTGGGTCCCTCCCACTTCCCCTTCTCCTTGTTTCCTTCCCAGCTGGACCAAATTCCGTGCAGAAACCGAAATGCACCAGAACCTTCTGACTCCGTGGTTCCACAGTCTCCTTTCCCTCAGCTCAGATGAACTCATTCTGTCTTTGTGGTTGATCTTACTCATCTCTTTGTGTGTCAGCTTAAATGTCTCCTCTTCCAGAAAGGCTTCCCAGACACCCCTCCAAGTTAGGTGTCTGCTTTGAGCCCCTGTTAACTCTTTCTGATATTTGCTACCAGATTTTTTTTAAGCCCTAGAACATTTACACAGAAGTTCCTTATAGGAAACAATAGCTCATAGTTAACATTTATTGAGAGTCTATTACACCATATATACTAATATTTATTGAGTGCACTAAGCACTTTATGTACAGTATCTCTTGTAAGGATATGTATGTGAAGTGATGGTCGAGATTCCAGGCCAGGTTTCAGAAACAAAGATGAGCAGTGATTATGACTTCCAGTACAGTCACCAACCCCCCAAATCCAAACAGGGGCTCTGCTTTCACCTTACTACAGGGGGATGCAACCGAAGATGTTGGACCTCATCTGTCCACCCACTCATCTACCCATCCACTCGTCCATCAATGCATTCATGGTCTCTGATGTGCTAGGCATTTCATAAGGAGGATGGAAATGATAAGCCCGATATAGCCTGGATCCTCCAAGAGCTCAGAAACCAGACAAGCTTGGGTATAAGTAATTTTAGTGAAAGGTGACAAAGGCCATCATGCAGAGACATTATCTTTAGTGCAGGCTTGGAGAAGAGTGAAACCCTAACATGTCTTTTGTATTGCCTTTGGGTGGGTATGGAAACTGATCAGGCAAAGGAGAGGTAGAGCTTCAATCTACCTCTTCTAATTAAATCATAGTGTGGTCCCAAGTTGGGCAGGGGCTGCCAGTAACCACTGAAGTGCTAACCAGGCTGGAAGCCCTTTATCCAACATCCGTCCAACTACCCAACCACCATCCATTTATCCATTCATCTAATCATACATCTATCTACCCAACTAATCATCCATTTATCCATTCATCCAGACATACATCCACCCATCCAACCACCATCCATTTATGCATTCATCCAATCATACATCTATCTACCAAACCATCCATTTTCATCCAGTTATACATCTACCCATCCAACCAACCATGCCTTTATCTATTCATCCAATTATATGTCTACCCACCTAACCAACCATCTATTTATCCAACAGTTGATCATCTAGAAAAGGATCATCCATTCATCTATTCACCCAACTGATCTTGTCCAGCATCCAGGTACCCAATCACTCAAGCAGTCATCCATCCTTGGGTGGATAGGTGGGTTAGTTATCTAACCCCATCCAATCAACCATCCAACTAATCACTGGCCCAATTCTGTGTCAGGCACAGTGCTAGGTACTGGTGTACAGAAACCAACCAACACAGTCTCTGTCCTTGAGGAGTTCACAGTACAGTGTGGTAGACAAGGAGAGCCATTCTAACACTATGTGCCGACATACACTATGAGAAGTATAAAAACAGTATGACAGGAACACAGAGAGCAAGGTTACTTACTGTGATTGGGAAAAAGAGTTGCCAAGATAGGACCATCTGACCTGTGTCTGGAAGGATGAAGAATCTGTCAGATAAAGAAGCCAAGCAACCCAGGCAGAGGAAATGGGAATGTTGCAAAAGCCCTTAACTTTTTTTTTCTTAGACAGGGTTTTGCTTTGTAGTCCAGCCTGGCGTGCAGTGGCACAATCCTGGCTCACTGCAGCTTCAACCTCCCATGCCCAAGCAATGCTCCCTTCTCAGCCTCCCAAGTAGCTGGGACCATGGGTGCAAACCACCACACCCAGCTAATTTATTTTTTGTAAAGACAGGGCCTTGCTATGTTGCTCAGGCTGGCCTCAAACTCCTGGGCTCAAGCAATCCTTCTGCCTTGGCCTCCCAAAGTGCTTAGATTACAGGTGTGCACCAACTACACTTGTCCTGGTCTTCCGGTTCTTGTCTTGAGTTTTCTTCTCCTTAACATGTATCACTACCAAATACACTGTGTATTTTACTTCTTTACTAAAATGAAAGCTCCATGAGAACAAGATATCCTCAGTGCCTAGAAGAGTTCCTGATACACAGTAGGCATTCTAGAAATGTTTGTTGGTCGAATGAATGAGTGAATGCTATGTGTCAAGGCCAGAGACCCCTAAAGAGCCCGGTCTGTCTGGGAAACAGTGACATGGTTCACAGACCACTGACCTGGGTTCAAACGTTGGCTTTGATGCCTCACTAGCATTGTGACCTTGGATAGGTGACTCAGCCTCCGTTTCTGTGTCTATAAAATGGGGCTAAGAATTCGTGCCCATAGGGTTGTCAGGACCCCTTGAGAACCAGACTGTAAGCAGGTCAAGTGCTTGGCTTGGTGTCTAGGGTCTTCAGAGTGTTGACAACCACCAATGGCACACAGTCCCTCAAGGGTGGGGGCTGTGTGCATGACTGGGTGATACAGTTCTTGTTCACAGCTATCCAGGGGTTCTAGTTCAACGCCTGGTGCACAGTGGGCATTCAATAAATATTTGTGGAATGACTATTAGTGGAGTAAGTATGAGAAGCCCCTTGTGGCGGGGGGATGGAGGGACAACTTTGTGGGAGCAAATGTCCTATTCTGCATCTTGGGCCCATGGAGGTCCTTCAGGATTTTGCTATCAGAGTTGCCGGCAAACACTGAGGAGGGCTTCAGGGGATGTTCAGAGCAAAGGGACTTGTTCTATCTACTGCGGGGCAGGTTGGGAGTGTCGCCTTCAGAGGGGCCTCAGAGGGCCAGCTCTGGGAGGGGGCTGGGGGATGACCCGGGATGGAGGGCACCCGCCGGCCTGCCATAAGTGAGGAGACAAGACAAGACAAGACGGATGGCTCCGCAGCCCGCCGAGATGGATAACTGAGCCGTGGCTGGGAGACAGCCCGGGTTACCAGAGCCATCCATCACTCCCTGCGCCGTATGTAAATTTCAGATGCCAAGATGTATTGGGCCAATTATCCGAGGCCAGGGCAAGGGGTGGTGCCTATGAGAAACAGTTCCCAGCCAAGCTGGCTTCCCCGCGTTCTATCAGCTGGGCCAGGGTGATGGACAGTTCACATTCGGATCAAAGAGCCAAGCCTCAGGCCTGTGTGTGAGCCAAAAGACTGCCAACAACTTCTTAGCAAACTCCCAGTGCTGTGAGAACAGCAGGATAACAACTGCCCCATAGAGGGCTGGCTGTCGACTAGGTCCACAATGACCAGCACTACAAAAGTTCATTTCCCTCTCCCAGTGGCATCTAGAGTGCAGTGGATTCTCTAGAAACATCTGTTGAGGGAGCCAATGAAGGGTCTTAGGATGCAGGTGTCATCTGATGCACGGTACCTGCAGAGAGACAAAGCCACTCGTCCCACATCACACGGCGAGGAAGTGCCATCATGGGGACCCGAACCTATAACTTTCTGATTTTCCTCTGGGTTGTTTCCCTGGAGGACAATCTTTCCCTAAACTGTCTCTACAAGGTCTGCCGTGGCCTGAAGACCAGGAGCATGACCAGGCCTGGTCCATCTGTCTGTCCATCCACCCATCCATCTATCCACTCAATAACTACTTTTTGTGTGCCTACAGTGTTACCAGGGACAAGACAGACCCAGGTCCTGCGCACATGGAGCATGTGGTTACATGGGGAGCACAACAGGCAATTACAACTGTGGGACATCAGGCCCACCTGGCAGCTCCGTAGCTCAGGCTTCCAGAAAGCCCAGGCAGTGGTTGGTTTTTTAGTTTGAGGCAGGCCAAGAGCCAGCATTTGGCAGGCAGACTAGGTTCAGGTCCTGACCTTCTTGCTTGCCAGCTCTGTGAGCTTAGGCAGACCTGTGGCCTCTCTGTATCTAGGACTCTCACTGCTGCAAAATGCAGCCAGGGCATCACCTCTCTCTGGGGACTGGCAGGACGACAGGCTGGTGGACTGCAGGGGTTCCAGGCTATGGGAGGTGCCTGGGAAGGGCTGGATGCTTTGGGCCAAGGCTGGCACTTGGGCTGGGGCTGCCACCAGCCCTGAGGCCCTGGGAGTTGGGAGGCAGCAGCTGCTCCGCCTGCCTTAGGTATCATCAGGCTGATGTAAATTGGCAAATCTTGTCAGCCTGATCTAACAATTTCTCCTCCTCTCTACTGTTGCCACCTGGGCCAGGCCACTGTCATTGCCTGCCTAGGTGACCACAGGAGCCTCCTCACTGGGCTCTCTACTGGCACTTTCACCCTCCTACAGCCCCTTCCCCACTTGGCGGCCACAGAGATCCTGTTAAACCCAACTCATATCCTGTTCCTCCTCTGCTCAAAACCCTTCCATGGCTCCCATGTGAGTCTGAGTCAAGGTCCCATATGATTCGTGTTGGGCTTCACTTCCTTCTACACCCTCCGGCCCACTCTGCTCCAGGCACATGGGTCCTTCTTGACTTTTTCTTTTTTTTCTTTTTTTTTTTTTTTGAGAGAGAGTCTTGCTCTGTCACCCAGGCTGCAGTACAGTGGCACAATCACAGCTCACTGCAGCCTCAACCTTCTGGGCTCAAGCGATCCTCCCACCTCAGCCTTCTGAGTAGCTAGGACTACTGGCGTGCTCCACCACGTGCAACTAACTTTTTATTTTTTTGTAGGGACAAGGTCTCACTAAGTTGCCCAGGCTGGTCTTGAACTCCTGGGCTCAAGTGATTTTCCTGGCTCAGCCTCCTGAAGTGCTGGGATTACAGGAGTGCACTACTGCACCTGGCCCTTACTGATTTTTTTTTTTTTTTTTTTTTTTGAGACAGAGTCTCATTCGGTTGCCCAGGCTGGAGTGCAGTGGCATGATCTTGGCTCACTTCAACCTCCGCCTCCTGGGTTCAAGTGATTCTCCTGCCTCAGCCTCCTGAGTAGCTAGGATTACAGGCGTGTGCCACCACGCCCAGCGAATTTTTATATTTTTAGTAGAGATGGGGTTTCACCACATTGGCCAGTCTGGTCTCTAACTCCTGACCTCAAGTGATCCGCTCACCTTGGCATCCCAAAGTGCTGGGATTATAGTCGTGAACCATGGTGCCCAGCCCTTATTGATTCTTGAACACACTAAGCACGTTTCTGTCTCGGAGCCTTTGCACTGGCTGCTCCCTCTTTCCTCACCTGCTCGGAGGCTTAGCTCTTATACCACCTTCTCCCAGAAGCCTGTCCTGCCGTCCTATTTAAAACAGTAAGCACCTCCTCTCTACCTCAGCCGCCCTCTGCTTATTTTTCTCCCAAGCCCTTGCCGTTGACACATTTATGTAGTCACTTCTCCATTTGTTTATTGCCTGCTTTCCCTGCCCGCCTCCTGCCCCCTCCAATGTCAGCTCCACAAGCACAAGGACTTTGTCCGTTTGGGTCACTGCTGTGTCCCGATGCTTGGCACACACTAGGTGCTCAATACTTTGAATTAATGAATGAACAAATGAACAGATGAAAGACTGGCTAACTCTGGGTCCCCAATCCCACCCGTCACCCCCATCAGTCCCCTGCCACAAGCATCAGGCAGGAAAACAAGCCTGCTCCTGTGCAGGCGGGACCTGGAGGTGGCTGTCCTTGAGAGAGGATGCCAATCAAACGCCTAATTATCTTGTCGGCAAGCCCCGAAAACCAGAGCCACATCCGATCACTTCCTCCTGCCCTTGATTGCTGATTTATATTCCGGAGTTCTCGGAATTTAAAACCACACGGGCACCAGGAAAACAAAATAGCCCCCACTCTGACAGGTGTCAGGTGAGGGGCTGGGGACCCCTTGTGCCCCTCTTAGGGCTGACACGTCTGGTCCAACTGGGTGAGAGGCCAGAGAGTGCTTCCCCCGGCAAAATGGGGGCAGGGGAAAGGGATCCCACAAAATGATCATTCACTCATTCATTCGTCAATGAATGTTTACTGAGCACCTACTACATGCCAGGCTTTTGCTAGGGGCCACAGTGGCAATGACTCACATCACAGAAGCTGAACGCCTACTGCATGAGGGCACTTTTAACGCCTTGGCCCACTGCATCTTCTGGGAGGTCTGTGTTCCTAATAATTCCTTTTGCAGCTGGGAAAACGAGTCCCTGAGAGATCATGTCACTGCCTCAAGGTCACAATCAGGCAAAAGCAGAGCTGGGCTTTGAACTCTGGTCCACTCTTCTCCAAACCACTGCATCCTCTCTGAAGTCTGCCACTTTCAACATCTTTTCTCTAACTCATTTCTTGCAGCAGCCTCTTTTTCAAGGTTGGGAGCATCTGGGGGTGGGAAGAAAGTCTGTGGGAACCTCAGGAAGCTCTGGAAAAATTCTCTGGCATGCAGGGCTGAGAAGGTGCCAGGTGCAGGGCTGAGAAGGTGCCAGGTAGGGAAGCATTTATTAAGCGCCCACTGTATGCTGGGTAGGGTTCCGAGAGCCTTGGGCTCTGGGGAGGACTGGGGAGGACTGCCACACAAATATGCAGGCGTAGTCCCAAGAAAAGCACACCTGGAGAGAGCTGCGCCTAAGGGCACGTGGGGCCTGGGGGAAGGCACTAGAGGAGGAGGGAGCTGTGGGCATGAGTGGGGCTGGAACCGTCAGGCTGTTGGGGAATGGGTGACCATCTGGATGTATCTTACAGCCTCGTGGGGATTAGGTTGGGAAGTTGTGGGACCAAGGCAAGAAGCGATTGGGAGCCAGAGGGGTTGGCTGAGCAGAGGTGCCACCCCCACCTCCAGGCAGCTGCAGGGAACCGTGCGGGCAAGAGACTGAGCCTAGAGGCTGGCAGAGCAGACACACCATCCCCTGCTACCAGCGGAGGGGAAGGTGGGTGGAGGCATCAGGCAGGAGAGGGCGCTGATGGATTTCAGGGACTGGCAAGGAGCCAATGCCTCCCAGCAACTAGAAGCCCCGGCCAGGGAGGCTGAAGGTGAGATTGAGAGGGGAGGCCCTCAAACGAGGGGCGGCCAGGGTGGTCACAAGCCATTTTAGCCCAGGGGCTACACAGGCTTGTCCCCTGCCTGCTGTTGACTTTGCCGAGTGCCTGACCTCCCCCTGCCCCACTATTGTTTAAATGAGAGCAAGGATGCCTCGAGGGTTTACGGAGAGGCCCAGCAGAAACCAGTAGATGCAATTTCTTCCTAAACAAATGGGAAGCATCACTGCTAATATAAATGCCCCCGCGGAGGCTAGTTTGTAAGCACGAAGATGGAAGCATTCATAAAGAGAAAATTTTCGTAGGGGTGATAAGGAGGAAGAGAGAATGAGAGGTCGAACTAAATGTTCCTGCCCCCCACCAATTCTGCTGGACTTCCTGACTCCTGGGGACACCCCAAATTTGGCTGCATCCTATACGTACATCATGGCTATTCTTTTGGGGTCTGAAGACACTGAGCCAAGTGACGACACCTCCGGGAGGGAGGCCTGGATTGAATGGGGGCTGGCCAGGTAGGGTTACCCGAGAGTCTGCCATGAGGCTCCTGCTTCCCAGATGACCCCACGACAGAAGCTCCCATCCTAGCCTCCCCCCAGCACTCCACAAACAGTGTCCAAGTAGCCGTTCCCTGTCCCGGGTGTATTTCACATCAAGCTGTACGGGGTCCTGAGATACAGTTCTTGCCACTTCCAGAAAGGAAAGAATGGGGGAGGGAGGGAAAGAAAAACACAACCTAAAAAAAAAATCCCATTTTATCTTTCTACATTTTATTAAAGTGCTTATTATCAACATGAATGTGAAATGCCTATCCAGCTGACTTTAATTACCTGAAGCTGCACCCGAGACCCCCAACTGCCTCCCCTGTAAATAAAGGTATGGCCAGGGACAGCTACACAGGGCAGGTGCAGATCCAGCTGTGGGAGAGTTCAAAGACAGGGCTCGGATCCTTGCTGCAAGAGGGGGTGTCCTCTCCTCTCCCCAAACCATAAAAAGCCACTTCCCAAAACAACACAGGCAAAAGCTTTCTCTCCAAATGCTCTCTCCCCCGCAACCCGAGGAGACTTTTATCTCTGTTCACCTCCCCTCCTGATTCTAACAGTACAGTAATGCATGTTCATCTGTGAAAAACCGAAGAGCAGGGTACCACGCAGCACGCAAACAGAGTGCTGTAGAAAAGAGCCTTCCTGCGGGCTTTTTCCTCTGTGACTGTAGATGGACACACAGACACACGAGACATAAATACACACAGACACATAAATGCACACACAGACACATACATACACACAGACACACAGAGATCCATACATGTAACACACAAACACACAGAAACACACGTACAAACATAGATACAGGGACGCCGGGACACAGAGACACATACCACAGACAGACACGTTCACATGGAGACACACACATACACAGATGCACCCAGACGTCTCAGCAGAATTGAGTTCTTACTCTATTGACTAAGAGAAAACCTGAGCATGACAGACCGGCCTGCCCTAGACCAGGGCCTGTGGATCCGTGACCTTCTCTCCACCCATCTCATTCCCTTTGTTTCTGCAGAGCCTGAAGAGGCCCAGGATGCAGGGCACGCACATTCCCAACTTAGGTGTGTGGGCTGGGTTCAAATCCTGTCTTTGGTGTTCTCCAGCCAGGAAATCCTAACGCCTGAGTCTGTTTCCTAATCTGCGCAATGGGGATAATGTTTGTGGGCATCATTTCAGCTAGAGAGATGGGGCTGGATACCACACTGAGCTGCCCAGAGTAGTACTGAAGTACAGAATGCAGATTCCAGCACCAGGAAAGCCCGAGTTCGAATCCTGCTTGCTGCTCTTGCTAGCTCTAACCCCAGGGCAAGTCAGCGTGCCTCTCCGAGCTTCAGTGTCCTCACTTGTACCACTAGAATAATAGTGATGTTGAACGAATCCCAGCCACGTCTCTTCAATCCCGCCAACGTCCAGAAATAATACCCACTCCCACTGCCGCCTTTGTCCAAGCTGCTACCCTCCCCTGCCTGGATTATTTCCGAGGCCTCCTCCCTTCTCTCTCCGCACCCACCCTTGCCTGCATTTTCCACATGGTGGATGGAGTGAGTCGCTCAAAACGTGAATCATCTCTTCTCTTTCCTTGGCTTGAAACTTGTCCATGATTTTTGCCATGGTCTTAGATTGAAATCAGACTTCTCACTGGGCCTAGAGGGCCAGGCTACTGCTCACAGCTTCCTATACCTTAGGGGGGCCCCTCTCTGCCCAACTCTATGCACTCCAGCTACACCTGCTGCTCCTGGGCCTCCGATGAGCCAGCCTCTTTCTCACCTCAGGGCATTTGCATGTGCAGTACCTGCAGCCTGCAATCCCTCCCCATCCCCCCCAGTGCTGCCACCTTCTCAGCAGGGCCCTCGCTGGCCCCACTGGCACCCCTGCCTCTAAAGCAGATCCACTTTCTCCTTCCTCCTTTTCCACAGGGCATTCAACATCATTTGCAAAGATAGTTATCTGCATATTTAATATCAGCCTCCTTCCTAGGACTAAAGCTCCGGGAGGGCAGGGACTCTTGTCTGTTTTGTTCACCTCCATAGCTCCAGCATCTAGGCCAGTGCCTGGTCCAAACCCAATAGACACTTTTTTTTTTTTTTTTGAGACAGGGTCTCACTCTGTACCTCAGGTTGGAGTGCAGTGGCACAATCTCGGCTCACTGCAACCTCCGCTTCCCAGGTTCAAGCGATTCTCCCACCTCAGCCTCCTGAGTAGCTAGGATTACAGGTGTTCACCACCACACCCGGCTAATTTTTGTATTACAGTAGAGATGGGGTTTTGCCATGTTAGCCAGGCTGGTCTCAAACTCCCGAACTCAAGTGATCTATCCACCTCGGCCTCCCAAAATGCTGGGCTTACAGGCATGAGCCACCCGCACCTGGCCTTAATAGACAATTTTTAAATGAATATTCACCTCACCAAGTTTCTCTGCCCACGGAATGACAATAATGAGTATGAAAAGATTTTGATAACTAAAGAATATTTCACATAAATAAAACAAAAAAATTATAATTCTGGAAGAATGGAAATATCTCACTTTAGGGTCCAGGGTGGGGAAGGAGAGATCAAGAACAGCAGCAAGAAAGGGAAGAAAGAAGTGAGGGTAGCAGGAAATTCCAGATGAAAGGGATGAAACCACTGGGTTCCCCCAAACAGGCTTGAGTGGGGGCACTGCTGTGGGAAAAGTGAGCACATCCTGATGTTTTAGGGCCTGGGAGAATTACCTGTATGTAAACCCATGCACATTTTGGGGCTGTGTTATTTCACTGTGTGAACCTCTCCTATGGCTCCCTGGTGGTGGGAGGTGGATCTGACCTGGCCAAGCCTCACCCATTCTACCACCCGCCTTGGATGACCTTAGACTGGCCTGAGCCACAGCCACGCTCCAGCTGGATGAAGCCATTTAAGGACAGGGAAGCTGTCTCTGCCTTCACTCAAGACAGGCCGCCACTGGCATTGAACCCAGTGCTATTTTTCAAGTCACATTTCTGAAGGAGGGTGTTGTTTTCTCCAGGAACCCTCAAGATGCCTACACGCTGCTTGCCAACAAGCCAGTAGCATGTACGCATTTATTCATTCAACAAACATGTAAGGAGCATCCCCTCTGTGCCAGGCACTGTTCCAGGCACTGGGGATCCAACAGTGGCCACCGCAAAGTCCCTGCCTGTGTGATGCTGACAGTCTAACATCCCAGCTTTCACGGATGAGGATGGGATTCTGGGCTGACATGGCATTGATCCAGTCCTGGGGGCCAGGCAGAATAGTACCAACAATAAAGATAACAATAACAGAAGCTGATCCTTTCCCACACTGACTAAGTGGTAGGCACTGAGCTAGGGGATTTAGAGGAATTATTCTCTGAGCCTCACAGCAGTCCTTCGAGAGAGATATTAGTACTTCCATTTTGCAGATGAGAAAACTGAGGCTAGGAGGGAATAGGTCAGTTGCCCCAGGTCTCAGGCTTGGGAAGCAACAGGGCTAGGATTTGCACCTGGGTCCTCCTAGCTCCAGAGCCCGTCCACTCTCTTTTAGTGCCTCTACAAGATGCCCCAATTTAAATCCCCTCTTCTCTGAGTCACTGAGCACCATCTAGACACAATATTCCTGTACATGCAGCCCCTAGTCCCTGAGCCCCACGCCTATTCCAGCTATGTATGATTAAAAGGTTTGAACTCTGCTCAATCCTCTGAAAGATTCAAGGACCCAGAACATACTGAGTGGTGATCCTGAACTTCTAGAACTGCACTGTCCAATACAGCAGCCACTAGCCTCCTGTAGTTATTTAAATTTAGTACTTCTACGTTAATTTAAATGAAATGCAATCACAAATTCAGTTCCTCGGTTGCACAAGCCATAGTCATGTGCTCAGTAACCACAACGGGTAGTGGCTACCGTACAGGATGGTTCAGATATATATCATCTACATGTTCTATGGGACAGTGCTGTTTTAGAACACCTGAGGATGTGCGATTTTGTTGTATGCCCCCCACCTGCCATTCATTTCTTCAAGCTCCAGTGGCTCCCAGAATTCCCAGCCCAAATTCTCATTGAAACCAGGGACCAAAAATGCAACCTCAAATATCAACAAAGACAATACTAAGCCCAGATACTGCTGGTGGGAATGCAACATGGTACAGCCACTTCAGAAAAACAGTTTGGCAGTTTCTTAATAAGTTAGACATAAATGTATCTTATGACCCAGCAATTCCACTCCTCTACCCAAGAGAATCGAAAACATGTGTTCAAAGATCTGCGTGCAAACTTTCACAGCAGTGCTATTCACAACAGCCAAAAAGTACAAACAACCCACATGCCCATCAACCGATGAACGGATAAAACGTGGTCTATCCATACAATGGAATATTATTTAGCAATCAAGAGAACAAAATACTCATACATGTTACCACATGGGCAAACCTTGGAAACATTATACCTAATGTAAGAAGCTGATACAAAGACCACAGATTGTATAATCCCATTTGTACGAAACGACCAGAAAAGGCAAATCTATGGATACAGCAAATAGATTTGTGGTTTCCTGGGGCTGGGAGTGGGATCAGACAGTGACTGGAAAAGGACCCAAAAGATCTTTTTTGGGGTGACAGAAATGTTTTAAAACTGGATGTGGTGATGGTTGTACAACTCCATAAATATACTAAATCGATTGTGTTGTACATGTATAATAGGTGAATTTCATGGCATATCAATTATATCTCAATAAAGCTGCTGGAAAAAAAAGAAATGAGGAGGTAGGGGAAGCTAGGCTTAGCAGCCACTCCTCATATTCATAAGGCTTGTGCTGGCTTTGAGAGCCTTGTCTTTGCATTGGTCCATCAAGATTATAACAAACATTATGGACAAGTCCTTAGTGTTGGGCTCTGTGTCCCTAGCTACGGTGATTACCAGTATCCCCATGTCACAGATGGCAGACCCAAGGGCTCAGGGAAGGCGCTTCCCCAGCTCAAGGACAGAGCGTGGAAGAACCAGGGTTCCAACTCGTGTCTGTCAGTCCACAAGATGCTCCACCCAGTTCTCCCAGCGATGTTGGCAGAAGCTTGCAAGAACCAATTTCATTCTGTACCCTTGAAATCTCACACCGGAGGCTGGTGCCCAGTGATGCCCCGCTGGCCGGGACCCATGGGGTCAGTTTCAGATGATTTCTATTCTAAAGCAATGTTTTGTGTTTCTTTTTTTTTTCTCCTAGGGGTTTATAAACTCTGTCTTTTCCATATCAGGTTGAAACTTAGAATATAGGTTGTCAGCCAACATACCAGCATTTTTCTAAAAATAACCCAAATTGGTTAAGCCATTTTTAAGCGATGGAACAGTCAGGGGAGGGAAAAAAAGGTGCGTTGGGCAGGAAAGGGAGGGAGGGATTTTAAAAGTGGTTTCACATGCTCTTTTTTGAACAGCTTCAAACAAAATACAGAAAAGGCCTTGTCTGAATGAGAGGAACGTGGACCAGTGACTGCAGGTGCTGGCTGGCCACGGGGCTGTTTGTGGCTTCTCTGGTGCACTTTGGGCCTCAGATCTGCTGCTTAAGGGATAGGAGTTTGACACCCCCGCATGTGGGTCTCCAGAACATCTCCTGTAGGGTTGGGGAGAGGGAGATGGGAGTTCACAGGCAGCAGGACTTTCTTCTGATGGCCACTGGGTGGTACAGGAGCTGGACAGCTGGGGGTCCCCAGATAGACACAACCAAGGCTGGAGTTTGCTGCCTCGCTCAGGCAAGACCACCCAGGCTCTGGGGCTGCTCGCGAACTGGATCTGCTCATGTAATCAGCCTCTCGTCTGAAGACACGCTCATTCAAATATGCTTTAAGCACCTGCTGTGTGACGGGCACCGGGTACATCAGGGACCGAGGTGACCTGTTCCCAGTTGACCTCCTGGGGCTTACAGGTGAGGGCAGGGGCCCACGAGGTGATGCCCTGGAATGACTGGGTGGGATGGGGACATGGCAAAGGAAAGACCAGCGTCCCTGCTACAGGAGGCTGCAATGCTCAGCTCTGGCCGATCGGTGCTGCATGGAACTGTGGGCCCAGCAGGGTCGGGAGTCTAGTTCTCCAGAAAGGCCCCAAATCCAGATTTTTGATGTGAAAATCTCCTGAACTGTAATCACTGGCAACAAGTTCAGACAAAAATTTTAACAATGCAGTTTGTGCCAAACAAAACAGATTTACTGGGGAGTTGGACCCCGGCCTGCCAGTTTGCAAACTCGGGTCTAGCCTGTTAATTATGCAGGATGGAGAGAATAATAACAGTGACGGCTTCCATTTATTTTGTGCTTATCACGTGCGTGGCCCTGTGCTACAAGAACCCCAGGAGGGGGGTGCTGTTATTATTCCTGTTTCGCTGATGAGCACCGCTGAGGCACAGAGAGGTTAAGTCACTTGCCTAAGGTCACACAGCTGAGGGGGCAGAGCTGGATTCAAGACAAAGAGTCTGGCTCTAGAGATTCGCTTTAGTGACAAGGCTACTGCTACCCAGGTGGCCACCGGTGTGATATGTTCATGTTGCACTGTGAGACCAAAGACCCCGCAGGAATGTGGAGGTCCTTAATGCTGTCCAGCTGAGTCACCCCTGCCTTTTGTAAGCCTATCACCCAGCAAGGTTGCGGAGGAGCCCAACCTTGGCATCCAGAATGTTGGTTTCCTTCACTGTCTGCTCCATCCTGGGACAGACTGTCTCCATCCCAGCTGGCCCTAGAGGGTCTTCAGGAGAATCTGTAATGTTTCCCAGAGGGGCACCTGTCTGCGCATGCCCTTTGCCCATCGCAGCCGGCTTCCCCCGACCTTGACATCTCATCAGGAGGCGGAGGCCAAGCCCATGGCAGTGCTGCCCACTCCAGCCAGTGAGAGGTCCCCAGGCCCAGCCGGCAGCCCCCGCAGCCCCCACACCTCCAGCGCCTTCATTCCTGGATCCCGAACAAGGGGCCTGTTCACAGCAGAACACTCATTACCATTTCCATCCGTCTTTATCCAGCAGATGTGCGGCCGGCGTTACAATTACAATAGCGAGGGAGAAAATAGAAAGAAATTTCAGAATTTGTTCCCCAAAGATATTCAAATTAGTTAATCAAGGGGCTTATTATTGCTTCTTTTCTCCCCCCCAACAGCTATCCATGAGGATAATTGATCAGCTGCTAATAACTGATTACACTTCACAAGTGTTTTCTTATGCCCATTACCAGCGTGTTTAAAGACATTTTGTAAAGTTCTAATTATTTCAAATTGTTTTGCTGTAGAAAACACCTCAGAACAGTCAGCCGCCGGCTGTGCCGGGGATGCTTGTGCCAGGTCAGAGGGTATTTGGAGGGACTAATCAGGGCTATGGGGCGCAGTCAGGCAGGTGGGATTTGGGTAATTCCACGTCTCCCTCTCTCCTGGACTCCTGTGTCGCTCTTTCCTCCCTTGAATCCATTTTCCGCCACCCTGACCACCAACCCTTAAAGACAAGCCAGGTCCAAATGCCTTGGCTCACACTCCATTCACTCTTTCCTTCACCCAACTCATTCATTTATTCATTGAACACAGTGGCTCTCAAAACTTTTGTGTCTTGGGACCCTTTTAGGTGCTTAAAAATGATGGAGGAACCTAAAGGGCTTTGTCTGGGTAGGTCACAGCAATCAATAGTCATCATATTCAAAATTAAAACTGAGACATGTTTAAAGCACAAAGATACACAAACACACACGCTATTAGCCATAGGAACGATGATGTCATCACACCTTGGATAGCTTCTGGAAAATTCCACCATGTGTTTGTGAAAGAATATGAGTAAAAAGGGCAAGTAGCAGCTTAGTATTGTTACGAAAGTAATTTGATCTTGCAAACCCCAAGGAAAAGGTCTCAGGACATCCAGGGGTCACTGACCCACACCCTGAGAGCTGCTGACTTAACCAGGACTTTTTGGGTCCTTCTCTGTGTCAGACCCCGGGTGGGCTGCGATGATGAACTGGACAGACAAGTTCTCCTTTCCTAGGGTTCCTGGTGGGGGAAGAGAGCAGCCAGCAGGGGTTATTAGCAGCCACACCTGATGAAGATCTAGTGAAAGCAGGAAAAAGGCATGAGCTGGAAGGCAGGTTATGTAGTTCTCGGGGAAAAGAAAGGGCTGGAGGAGCAGGGCTGGGTTCAAATCCCCTCAGCCATCAGGGTGCAGTGGCTGACGCCTGTAATCCCAGCACTTTGAGAGGCTGAGGTGGGAGGATCACTTGAGGTCAGGAGTTCGAGACCAGCCTGGCCAACATGGCGAAACCCCATCTCTACTAAAAATACAAAAAAATCAGCTGGGCGTCGGTGGTGTGTGCTTGTAGTCCTAGCTACTCAGGAGGCTGAGGCAGAAGAATCACTTGAACCCAGAAGGCAGAGGTTGTAGTAAGCCGAGATCACACCACTGCACTCCAACCTAGGTGACTGAGTAAGACTCCATCTCCAAAAATAAATAAATAAATAAACAAATAATAATAATCCCCTCAGCCACCTTCTCACTGCAGAACCTGGGGCTTTGCATGCGTGGGCCTCTATTGCTGGTGGTCACAGGGTGTTAGTAAGACCAAGATAAGGTGCTCAATAAAAAGCCCCCATAATTAAACTGGTATGCAGTAAGTGCTCAATAAATATCCTCCCTTATAAGCATCATGAGAGACTGACTCCTGCTCCCCACAACCTGAAGACCAACCATCCATCCCACTGGCAAGCTCAGAGCACCAGTACCAGGGGTCAGGGAGGTGCCCCGAAGGAGGTGGGGTGACACTGGCCTCTGGGCATGAACAAAGTGGGGGGGTCCCCAGGTGGAGAACAGAGGAAAGCACACTCCAGGCAAGAGGAACAGCAGGTCCAAAGGCCTGGAAGTGGGAGAAGGCACAGTGGATATCAGCAGGTATGAGATGGGAGAAGGCAGGTGGAGAGAACCTGGGCACGGGCAGACCAGTCATAAGAATAACAGTGGCAGGGCTGGGTATGGGGGCTCACGCCTGTAATCCCGACACTTTGGGGGGCCAAGGTAGGCAGATCACTTGAGGTCAGGTTCTGCAGCCTGGCCAACATGGTGAAACCCCGTCTCTGCTAAAAATACAAAAATTAGCTGGCGTGGTGGCGTGTGCCTGTAATCTCAGCTACTCCGGAAGCTGAGGCAGGAGGATTGCTTGAACGCAGGAGATGGAGGTTGCAGTGAGCTGAGATCATGCTACTGCACTCTAGCCTGGGTGACAGAGCAAGACTCTGTCTCAAAATAAATAAATAAATAAATAAATAAATAAATAAATAAATAATAAAAGAATAAGAACAATAATAGTGGTAGACAGCCACACAATGACCCCTGTGGGCCAGGCACGTTCTTAGCACTTTACCCGTGAAACTTCATTTCACCCCCTCTGCAGCTCTACCAGTTGAGTACCACCATTATCCCCATTTTATACATGGGAAAACTGAGGCTCAGACAGGTTAGCACTTGCCTGGTACACAAGATCTGTGAGTGGCGTAGCTGCAGATCCAGCCCCTGCAGAGGGGCTTTGGAGGCTCCAAGTTTTGCCCCTCTACTGTTTGTCCTCAAGGGATGCCAGGGGGTGGAGTCCCGTGGGAAGCTGGACAGCAGGACCCTCCTGGCGTGCTGGATCTGCGAGCAGGTCGGCTGTGCTCAGCTGCTGGGTCAGGAGTGAAGGTGGCTGGAGACCAGCATCGAACAGGAGGTGAGTGTGAGGAGGGTCCTTGGAGGGTGTCAGTTTCATGGCAGGAGTCAACGCACACAGATTAAAAGCCGGGGCATTCAGCTTTGGGGTAGCAGCAGACCCAACAGTGAGAGATCTTCACTGATCAAGAATGAAATCAATCTTGCACAAGCTACACATAGAGGCAGATGCCCACCTGCCTCTCTTTTGCCTTTGCTCCTCGCATCTGGGACCAACCACCTTCAGGTGTGTCTCTGTTAGGCCACAAAGGGTCTATTGATCAGCTAAAAATGCCAGGCGTCTCTCTGGATGTCCAGGAAAGATGAACTCATCTCATAGTCAAAAAGCATCAAGAGGTGGGAAAATGCAAAAGGAAGACCATGGTTAAGTGGACACCCTGGCTTGAGCAGCTTAGATAGTGGGGCCAGGCTAGGTGGAGGAATGTTCATGAATTTGGGGAGATGTCTCCCTGAGAAAGGTCAGGAACAAGAGTGTGGGGTGTGTGCGTGAATAACTAGCTGAAAGATAATCCCACCAGCAACATACTGTAATCTGGTTAGGACGGGCAAAATGGGAACCTCTGCACCCTACTCCCGAGTCCTGAGCAGTAATTGTTGCATTAAAAAGAACAAGTGCAATAAAAGCGCAAAGGCAAGGCCACAGAGAGAGAGAAGGAATGTACAGTTTATCTGATGTGTGCAGAATCAAGCACTCCTAAAAATTCAGTAAGGAAGAGATGATCAAATAGAAAAATGGGCCAGAGACTGAAATCAGTGCCTCACATAAGAGGAGATCCCAACAGTCAATGAACACACGAAAAGATGCTTAACCTCATCTGTCACCAAGGAAATGAAAATTTAAGCCACAAGGAGATAGTGCTACATACCCACCAGAATGGCTACAAGGGAAGACAGATAATACCAAGTGTTGACAAGGATGTGGATCAACTGGAACCTCATACAGGGCTGGAGGAAGTGTCAGTATCTGGGAAAACTACTTGCAGCGTCTACTAAAGCTAAACATATGCCTCCCCGTGCTCCAGCAATGCCACCCCTGGGTACCTACCCCAGAGAAATATGTTCACCAAAATACAGCCCCAGTCTTCAAAGTATGGTCACAGGCCAGCAGCGTCGGCATCACCCGAGAACCTAAGAGCAATGCAAACACTCAGACCTACTGAATCAGGATCTTGATTTTAACAAGTTCTCTAGGTGATTCATGAGTACATTAACGTTTGAGAAGCGCTGGTCTGGAATGTTCATAGAAGCAGTATTCATAATAGCCCCAGACTGGAAACAACCCAAATGCCCATTAACAGGAGAATGGATAAATACATTTGTGATCTACTCACCCAATGGAATACTACGGTGTGGCCACGAGCATGAATCAACTACCACAACAAACAATATTGATAAATCTTACAAATGCAATGTGGAACAAAACCAGCCCAGTGCAAGGGCACACACACTGTACGATTCCATTTACGTAAGAAACAGAAACTGGCAAATCAAGCCTGTGTAGTTCGGAGGCAGGAGAATGGTTATGTTGCTGGCAGGGTAGGGTGGATTAGACATGGACTAGAATGGGTACAAGGGATGTTTCTGGGTAGCAGGGAATGTTCTGTTTCTTTTTTCTTTTTGAGACAGGGTCTCATTCTGTCACCCAGGCTGGAGTATAGAGGTGCAATCATGGCTCACTGCAGCCTCAACCTCCCAGGCTCAGGAGATCCTCCCAGCTCAGCCCCTTGAGTAGCTGGGACCACAGGCGCACACCACCACACTTGGCTAATTTTTTGTAGAGTCGGGGTTTCCCCACTTTGCCCCGGCTGGTCTCAAACTCCTGGGCTCAAGTGATCCACCCGTCTCAGCCTCCCAAAGTGTTGGGATTTTGTGAGCCACTGTGCCTGGTCTGTGCACCTTTCTGTGTGAATATTCTGGGGGTAAAGGGAGGGAGGATCAGCTTTTTTCCTTCTGCCCAAAATACTCCTGAATCTGCCCACATCTTGCTGTCTCTACGGCCACAAAGCCCATCCTCTCTCACCTGGACTGGTGCAGGAGACTGCTTGCTGGTCTTCCTGCTGCCCTCTCTTCCAACAACCATGGGTGCGTTCACAAACATGAATCAGATCCTACCGCTCCGCAGCCTAAAACCTGCCGTGACAAGAGGGGTGACTTCCCATTGCTCCTGAGGCTGGGGCACCAAATGCTCCCCAGGGCCAGCAAGCTGAGTGTGACCTGGCCCCGCCCACTTCTCTGCCCTCCTTTCCCCCCCGCTCTCTGGGTTCCAACCACTCTGACGTTCTTTGGCCAAGCATCTGGCTACCTCAGGACCTTTGCACCTGCTGTTCCCATGCCTGGACCTCTTTCTCCCTAGATTTTTCCTATAACTGGCTCCTGCTGGCCTTCCCTGGCCATCCTGCTACATGGGACCCCTGTTCTTCCTCTCCCTCGGCCCCTGGTGGCTTCCTTCACAGAGCTCTGCACGCTGCTTTGATAGCACCTTTGCTGGTGTCCAGCAGTCTCTCCTGCCCAATGCTGATGGCAGGGTCCGTGTCTCTCTTGCCATGTCCCAGCCCAGGGCAGCACCTGGCACACAGCACCTGCTCCTCCTCCACACTGCATCGTCCTCTTCCTCCGCCATTTCTCACCTGCTCTTGATTTCTGATGTTGCAGACACTTGTGTTAGTAACCTGTCTATTGACGTAGAAAAATCCATTCCACAAAGTACACACAGTAGGTGCTCAATAAATGCTTGCTGAAGGAACAAGGCCAGAAGTGGCCTGGAGAGCCAAATGATGCATTTGCATAGTATTCCTGAGCCCCCCTGCCACTCAGCTGTCATCGATTTCCAGGGCTATGCCACACAGCCTGGCCAGCCCACTGAAGGTTTTCGAAATATGTCCTTGAGGGACGTAAGAAAATGAGATAGGCCAAGTTTAAAAACAGAGTGACTCAGTGCAAGCCTGTGATCGATGGCTCTGGGGTGCAGGGTGCCTGGCAGCTGTGCCCACCTGGGGCTCTGTTGGACCTGGCTCTTCAACAGATCTGAGCCAGCACTCCAGGCCCATTCTCAGCCCCATCACCCCTGCCCCCAGCACAGACATCTGTGGGCCAAAGCCAGCAGTGAAGAAGCAGGCCAGTGGGCCAGTCCATGGTCACCTGGACAGGGGGCCACAGAAACCCCAGGCTGGAGCTCTGCATGGACAGATGCCACTCAGGAGACTGAGTGGCACCTCAGGAGACCCAGCCGGCCTGTTGTGCACAGACAGGCCAACTCCAGGCACCAGTGGCACGGGGGTGCCCAGGGGTGGCAGGCCCCAAGGCCAGGGTACCCCAATCCCCAGCCAGGTCTCCAACCTATGAGCCACATGAGCCACTGAAATGCGTTTAGGTGTGGACATGGGGAGGGAGGACACTCAAGCAGGGAAAGGGGTCAGGAGTAGGGGGAGGTGGTGGTAGAGAGCTGCAATTTCACACAGAGCAGTGGGGGGGCCAGGGGAGGGTCATGGAAGAGGTGACTTTTAGGCAAAGACCTAAACGAGCGGGGACTCAGGCCATGTGACTCTCTGGGCAAGAGTCCGTTATGAGGGGGCACAGCAGGTGCAAAGGCCCCAATGCTACAGGAGTCACGAGCAAGGGAAGGATGGGTCCTGATGCCGGCGTCACTGAACCTGCAGGCTGCTGGGTGATATGGAGGCCTGGCATTGCACTGTGAGCAGGAAGCACGAATAACGCCACCAAGGGTAGCATAAGTGAACATCTGGATAGCCCCAGCTCTGCACTGGCAAGTTCTAAGCACATTCATACTTAGAGCGTAAAAATATACATCATGCTGCCAGGCACAGTGGCTCATGCCTGTAATCCCAGCACTTCAGGAGGCCGAGGTGGGTGGATCACTTGAGGTCAGGAGTTTGAAGCCAGCCTCGCCAACATGGCAAAACCCCATCTCTACCAAAAATACAAAAATTAGCCAGGCATGGTGGCACGTGCCTGTAATCCCAGCTACTCAGGAGGCTGAGGCAGGAGAATCACTCGAACCCAGGAGGTGGAGGTTGCAATGAGCTGAGATTGCACCACTGCACTCCAGTCTGGGTGATGCGGTGAAATTCTGTCTCAAAAAAAAAAAAAACATACACACATCATATCGATTTTAATACCTGCACATGTCTCAGCGACCCTCTCAGGTATGCACCATCACCATCTCCACTTCGCAGAGAAGGAAACAGAGGCTCAGAGTGGCAAGGTCATACAAGGTCACACAGCTGGCAGATGGCGGCGCTGAAGGCGAGCCCAGGGACCCTGCCTCTGTGCAGCTGCGAGCCTCACGCCACAGAGTCGCCCTTCTCTCTCTCAGCAACCATGGGTCCTGGTGGCCGGGTGTGGCCAGAATGTGCTCAGTTCCCTCTTCCCCACCCGACCTCAGGACCTGCGCGTGTGCCCTTCCCGCTCCCCTGTTCCCCGCCTAGTTTATGCTTCGGGTCTCAGCTTAACGTCATAGCAACTTAGCCTTCCCCACAAGGCCCTCATGCCACTTTCTCAGCACCTGCGTCCCCCATGGAGTGTCCACCCCTGAAGGCAGGGGCCTGGGTGGACCACATTCCTGCCTCCTATTCCCAGCACCTGGCTCAGTACACAGCTGGTCCCCATAAGTGTCACCTGACTAAGCATCCACAGTGACAACTAAGGCAGCCCTTAGATAGCTGATGTGGGAAAGGAGAGAAGGGAAGGGAAGGCAGGATGGATGCCGAGAGTGGGAAAGAGGAGAAATGCCGAGAGAGGACGTGAAAGCGAAATCTAGTGAGACGGAGACAGAAAGGGGGCGAGGGCAGAACAGAGGGCAGGAGGAGGAAGGGAGGGAGGGAGAGAGTGAGAGTGAAAGAGAGAGGACCAGAAAACAGAGTCTGAAGACAGAGTGAAAGACAGAGAAATACAGAAAGAGAGGGGGAGAGAGAGACAGGCACAGAGACAAACAGAAAGACAGGGAGGGAGGGATGAGGTATGAGAGAGAGAGGGAGAATGAGAGACCAACTACTGCCTAGCAGCTCCTACATTGCAGGCAGCCCCCTCGGACCGTGGAGCTGACACAGGCAGGTACTGTCAAGCCCCCAGCTTGTCCCCCTCGGCCAGGCTGAGCTGGGACTGGGCCTCATTAGAAGAGCTGTGACTGTAGGGGCTGGGCCTCTTGGGAGGGCTCCATTACTGAGCCTACCCAGGCTAATGGGCTCAGGGGCTGCACTGAGTGTGTGCCGGGGTCCCCTCGGGGCTCAGGGCCAGACCTCTGTCCTCAGCACCCTACTCAGCCAGTGCTGGACACCCCCACGAAGGGCTCTGGGCCTAGCACAGCCAGAAACAGCACCTCCTTCCAGCCTGCAGCTGGCGATAAGAACAGCTAGGAACTGTGGGTGAAGCGCAGGCTGGCTCAGCGGTTTCAGTACACGATTACGCCGACACCTGTCCCTGCTCTGGGTGACCACCATTTTACAGATGGCAAAAGTGAGGCATAGAGAGCTGCCATTGCTTATCGAAGGTCACCCCTCCAGTAAATAACAGAGCCAGTACTTGCTTCCAAATTTGACTTCAAGAATCCAGGTTCTCTTTCCATGATACTCATTTTAAAAACAGTACCATTTTGACACTGCTAAAGTATGATATGCATAGGATAAAAATGGCAACAGCACAGAAGAATTCAACATCAAAGTCTTCTTCCTCCAGAGGTGCCCACCTTTATTCTGTGTTCTTCTAAAGATACTTTACTTATATTCAAGCAAATACAGAAGCAGAATCTTTCTTTCCTTTGTTTTACTCAGAGGATATCCCATACCTTGTTATGCAATGTGCCTTTTTTTTTGAGACAGAGTCTCACTCTGTAGCCCAGGCTGGAGTGCAGTGGCGCCATCTTGGTTCACTGCAAGCTCCGCCTCCTGGGTCACCCCATTCTCCTCCTGCCTCAGCCTCCCGAGTAGCTGGGACTACAGGTGCCCGCCACCATGCCAGGCTAATTTTTGTATTTTTAGTAGAGACGGGGTTTCACTGTGTTAGCCGGGATGATCTCGATCTCCTGACCTCGTGATCTGCCCGCCTCGGCCTCCCACAGTGCTGGGATTACAGGCATGAGCCAACGCACCCAGCCGCAATGTGTCATTTTCTTTTCTTTTGAGACAGGGTCTCACTCTGTTGCCCAGGCTGTAGTGCAGTGGTGTGGTCATAGCTCACCACAGTCTTAAACTCCTGGCCTCCAGTGATTCTACTACTTCAGCCTCCCAAGTAGCTGGGATTACAGGTGCGTGCCACCTTACCCAGCTAATTTTTCTGTTTTTTTTTTTTTTTTTTTTTTTTTTGGTAGAGAGAAGGTTTGCCATGTTGCCTAGGCTGACAGTGTGCCATTTTCATAGAATTTATTGTCTGCTCCTTTTTATCAGTACATCAAGAGCATCCTTCTGCCTCTTTATGGTTGCAGAATATTTTGTATGGATGAGTCTTATCTATTCAGTCACTTAGGTTACTTCCAATCCCCTACTCATGGACACTCAGGTTACTTCCAATTCCCCACTCATAGACACTTAGTTTACTTCCAGTCCCCACCTTGTGGAAACAGGTTACTTCCAATCCCCGACTCATGGATACTTAGGTTTTTTCCAGGGTTTCCTCTTACTATTAATGCCACACCAACACACTGAGATGTACATCTTGGTAGTCACATATGGGTGTATCTGAAGAATAAGTTCTTAGACAAAGAAGGACTGGGTCACACAGCTGCACCTATGTAAATGTCATAGATGTTGCCAGCTTGCCCCTCAAAGGGACCACATTGATGGCTGCTCCCATCAACCCCGCAAGGGACTGCCTCTTTCCTGCAGCCATGCCGAGGATGAGGGTCAGGATGTCGAGGATGTAAAAGGGAAAAGGCAGAGGATACGGACGATTGAAGTGTGTCCAGAAGAGGGTGGCAATAGGTGACAATAGGTAGCAATGGGTGCCAGCCACCCAAGGAAAAAGTCTCACAGTAACTTCAAGGAGGTCACTTGATACCTCTTTGCCTTGACCTGGAATTCTCCTTGAGCTAAATAAGCTTGTTAGTCACAAATATCTGCAGGGGGTGGTGGGACTCCCCAAATGCCCTAGGCCAATAATTACTGCCACCAAACAGAACGCGCCAGGCACTATGTGAGCACTGATGTGTATGACCTCATTCTATCTCACAGTCACCTGGACAGGGATGCACTGTCATCAGCCCTACCTGCAGGATGGAGAAGTGACGCCCAGAGAGGTTTAGTCACTTGCCCAAGGTCACACAAAGCTAAGAATGTGATGAGGCTGGGATTCAAACCAAGGTCTGTTGACTTTAGGGTTTGAGCGTTTAACCCCCATGCTATCCTGGCTCGAAGCAATCTGGCTCCCAGCCAGGTAAACAACAACCTCACCCTGCCTCTGAGACCCCGGTGTTGCTTCTGCCTATTGCCAGACCCCTCAGACCCTGAGATTTCCTTGCACAGAATTCTCTGGTGATGTTAAACTGGCTCCTCCAACTGAGGGGACTGGAGCCTGGGCACAGCTCTATGCCCATGAAGATGAAGCAGGAGCCACCCCCAGCAGGCTTGGAGGCCCAAATGCCAGGCCTGCCTGAGGGACAGCCTGACCCTGTCATTCTTGGCTATCCCAGAGCCCAGCTGAGTCCCGACTGGATGTTCACATATCATTCATTCATTCAGTAATTCATCCAGCCATTCCACAAATATTCATTGAGTTCTCAACTGGGGTGAAGCACATAAACTTCAGAAACTGACCTGAATTTGACTTCCAGCCTCACCCATTCTTAGCTGTGTGACCTTGGACAAGTTGCTCAAGGCCTCTGAGCCTCAGTTTCTGCATCTCCCAAACAGGTAGAATTATAACCTCCTCCCAAGGTACCCGGGCAGATTGAAGGAGGAAGGTGCATGTCAAATGCTTGGTACAGGATCCGGGGCAGTTGGTGGCGAATAAATGGCTGGTGCTATTCCGATTATTGAACGAGACTGGCCCTTTCCCTGTCACCAGGGAGCTATGAGTCCCTTCATTGGCTCCCCTGGAATGTCCTTTTGGGGGCACTTGAATGTATCCTGGGCTGGCTCAGGGACCACTGTCCCATGCCCACCTGAACGAAGATGACCACTTGCCTTGGTGATCAATGTGTTACTGAGCTCAGCCAATTTCTGCAGGACCCGCTCGTCTGACCCCAAAGTCAAAGCTGCCTCCTCCTCCTTCTCCATCCCCAACGATGACTGTTCTAAAATTAGCCAGCAGTTGCCAATTCCAAGCGGAGCCAGCTTCTGGGAACTGGGAGGCCTCAGCATTGTCACCTGAGCCGCCTTCTCCATCCAACTGCGTAATGAATTGTCAGTCTCAGCCACCCCACGGATGGTCTCGAGTTTACAACTGTTCCACCGTCAAGGACGTGGGGGCTAATGGCTCTGAGAAGACGGATCAACTGGAGAACGTCAGGATGATGAATGGATTTGCCCAACGCCAGGATGCTGGCCGCCGGGCTGTATGTAAAAGAGAATGCCTAATTTGTTCATACCTGCAATTACCTGGAGCCCACTCTTCAGGTATGATTTAGCGTGGAAGTGGTCCTCTGTTTAGAGGAATTAATTATTTCAAGTGGTGCCAACCTTTGAGCTCTGATCACTATGGATAACCTCCCCGGGGCCCTAGGATGGGGGCATGTCTCTAGTTAGGTCCTGCTCTATGTGGAAGGGAACGGAACACAGATTAAACCCATCACAGTCATTCGGGAGGGCTTCAGAGATTGATTTTTATCCCCCGACCCTGCCCTGAAACATCTTTGCATCAAGTCTTCCCTTTGCACATTTTTAAACAAATGTCCCCCCACCTCCCTGTGCGCCTCCCCTCCTCCCAGATTAGGTGCACCCGTCGGAGATAATCCGATGAGTCAGTGGGTCCTTGCACCCCCCATGAATTACAAGGATTTCTCTTGCCAACCAAATATTTCATCCAGCTGTAGATATCATGAGGAAATGGCAAACAAAGAGAGAGATTTAATAACTGGAAATAAGAGTGAGGATGCAGATAGTTTAATTTTTTTTTGTATTGCATCTAATTGCAATCAACAGTAGACATCTGACACAGTGACAGCCTCAGCAAAATTGCTGCTGAGAGAACAGAATCTTTGTCTAAAAATAATCAGACATTCTGTGCACCACTGTTTGTTATAACGGTAATCGATGCTGGAGGCTTTGAATTCCATCAATTTATAGATCTGCGCAGGCCTGCCTGGCAATGGAGCTGGTGCACAGAGGCCCTCGCCGGCTCGGGCAGTGCTGGGGCCCGGTGTGTGATTAAGATAAGCCCCGATTCCTTTCATACATTCCTTATCAGGATCTAATTCTCCAGCAGGTAGAGATGTTCACAACAGTTAAAGATTAGTGCAGCTTCTCAGACGCCAAATTTGAGGGTATTGATCAATAAATCAAATCAGGCCAATCAATCGCCCAATCAGGAGAGTCTAGCCAGTGCATTATTACCGGCGCCTCCAAGCCAAAGCTTTTCATGGGTTTCATCAAAACAGCCTCACCTTGGCTTCCCGCCAGCTGCTGGCTTGCCTAATAGACTCCACAGCCGAGAGGGGCCTCCTGCCCAGCGGAAGAGCAATAAATTTCTCATCAAACAGCCGATGGAGAAACAAGATGAACATCTGTTTTGCTGCAATGAAACTCCTGTGTTCCTCAGAATGCACAAACCGCCTCTGACAGACCACCCCAAAGGCGGCTTCCCTGGCACGCGGCGGCCCCGCGGAATATTCCGCCTGGTTATTTCAATCAGGTAATTTAAGGAGACTTTTGCATTCTTCTCTCTGCAGCTGCCGGAGCTCTGCAAAGACTATTCCGGCGCAGTCGATAATAAATGCCATCCTGGGACCCTGTAGTATGAAGGCAATTTTATGATACCCATTATGTGGCAATGTAACTTCATTAAAAGCTGTTTATTCCCTCTAAGCATTTTAAGCACTTTCCCTCACCCATAAAGGAGGAGCCCGGGAGGTTATTTTTACAGAAAGGGTTCTCGGCCATATTTCTTCCCTCAATAACTCAGGGGAGCCTCGCCCACCGGCCTTCTCACTTTGAGGAGGGGAGGCAACCTTGGGTCTGGGGAGGCTGGGGGAGGACTAGGTTTTCCCTGGGACCCAGGCATGGGGCCACCACAGCTGCAGGAGCTGAGAGGTCCAGGAGAGGAGAGGACTGGAGGCCTCAGTCCCACCAGATCCTCAGAGGCCCTTTGTTCCTATCAGACTGGGAGGAAGAAAGTTCCAGAATATGAGAGCCAAAGCCAGCGTTTTCCAAACTGTGTGTCCCCTAACCTTTCCTTTTACTTTTCTATGTTGACACGAATCCAAAGAAATTATTTCTCGGCCTGTCGTAAAGGCCCAAATTCTCCTTTGCAGGGACAGCTGGCGGCTGAAGGATCATTTCTTAGCCCAAGATTTGAATGCCACATGTCAAGGGTTCTTCGGTGGAGGTCTGCAGACTCAGGCTGAGAGGAGCAATTCTTAAGGGTCCGTGGAATTGGTTTCCCTCCCTGTAGAGGGATCTGCTCATGTCCTGCGCTGGAGAAGTGGAAGGTGATTCTGCTTCTTGGAAAGCAGGAGAGGGAGGAAGTAGTGAGGGAATGAATGAGACTGTAGAGAGGAACACCTGCAGGCACCAGTCAGGGGTGTGGAGGGTTCCCGAAGACTCCTTTAATTCTGATGAGCTTGTTGTCCAAGGTGAGGAGGGACACAAGGTCAGAAGCCCAGCAGGGTGAGGTGGGGGGAGGGTGGGGTCAGGGGGCCCCATGGGGGCTGGAATTCTGCCAGGGATGCAGTGGAGCACAAGACAGGATCTGGACTAGTGCCATGGCATGATCCGGGGTCAGGGTAAAAATTACAGTCCCAGGGGCTGGGCACGGTGGCTCACGCCTGTAATCCCAGCACTTTGGTGGGCCAGGCGGGCAGGTCCCCTGAGGTCAGTAGCTCCAGACCAGCCTGGCCAACAGGGCGAAACCCTGTCTCTACTAAAAATACAAAATGAGCTGGGCATGGTGGCATGGTGGTATGTGCCTGTAGTCCCAGCTACTCGGGAGGCTGAGGCAGGAGAACCACTTGAACCCGAGAGGTGGAGGTTGCAGTGAGCTGAGATCGCACCACTGCACTCCAGCCTGGGGTACAGAGTGAGACTCAACACCAAAAAAAAAAAACAAAACCATGGCCCCTGCTGACCAATCATGTCATACACGAAACTAAAGGAAAGGGCAGGCAAAACAACAACAACAACAACAACAACAACCACGGCGATGGCTCAGATCAGCCGGAATGAACTCTGTGCCACGCACCATTCTAACCCATTCAATCCTCTCAACACCACCATGAAGTAGGATCGTTATTAATGCCATTCTGCAGATTTGGAAACTGAGGCCCAAAGAAGTGAAGTTAAACATCCCCAGGTCACACAGCTAGTAAACAGAATTCATCATGAACATTTCTTGGGTGCTTGGTGTCCCCATCCTGTGCACCTTATATGTGGTCTCCTGATTTATCTTTGTAATACTCCTCCACGGCGGGTGTTGGTATTATGCCCATCTTACAGGTGAAGAAACCAAGGCTCAGAGAGGGGAAGTGATTTAAACAGGTCAGTCAGGGGCAGGGCTGGGGCTGAAATGCATTCCAAAGTCCTTGACCCTTTTGGGCACTGTTTCCTGGCCTTCCAGGGGTCCTGCTAGGCTCCCTGTGAGGGGATCCTCAATGAGGAGGGGAGTCCACGGTCCCCTCTAGGGCTCCCACTATTGCCCTGTCCAGTCTGATCTCTGTGCGGTAGCTCAGGGAACGTCTGAAAGGTAAACTAATCCTTCCAAACCCCCCTTGGCTGCTGCTGGCTTTGAGCAAAAGGCCCTGTGTGGTCCTGCACAGTCTGCTCCCAGGCCTCTCTCAGCCCTGCTTTCCCCTGCGCCGACCGCTGACCCCCTTGCTGTCATTCCCCGTTACAGAGTCCAGACACGCTCCTGGACCTGGCACATGCACACGGTCTTCCAGCTCAGCCCTGGGATATCACCACCACAGGACATCCCCAAGCCCCCACGGCCCCTGCGCTTCCATCTGAGCCCTCATCACAGGCATAAATCATTGGACTTCATTCCAAACGGCCATCCCATAAATGTCCATCTCCCTCATTAAACCCTGACTCGGTCTTGTTCACCTGTGTACCCAGCCCCTGGCATGATGCCAGGCACATAGTAGGTATTTAAGAAATATTCATTGACTGATCAAAGTGGGGACCCCTGCCCTCCCTCCCAGTGTCCCACCCGTGACCATTCCCTTTCCATCCCAGCTGGTCCCTTGCAAATCCAGTTCTAGTTCTCAGTCACGTTCTGTGTTTTAAATGGGGGAGGGGGAGTGGCTGGACCGGGTCATAAGTCCACCCTTGAGCCAAGGAAGTTGTGGAACAAGGATGAACCCAGTCAGAGGGCTGGACTTGTCAACGTGACAGCAAATTATATTCCTGCCAGACCACAGGGCTGTCTGCCCAAAATACAGATATGTACTAGGGTCTCTCATACAGAGAGGCCACAGTATATTAGATTTATCATACACTCCAGCCAAGATGTGCTGCCGAGATTTCGGGGCAAGATTTATTACACTGGCTGGTTTTTAAAATGAAAGTGAAAAGAGGATATTCTGGCAAAGCTGCAGGCTGTTAATGGGGTGAGAATCACATAAAATAGATCATCTTGGAATCTCTTCTTCTAGACACAGACAGACCTTTGCAGAAAACCCCAGGGTTTCTGGAAAAAAGATGCTCGACCCAGTGTTTTTACACAGAACCACTGAGTGACCTTGGGTGAATTACTCTCATTCTTTGGATGTGTATTTCTTATTGGCAAACAACAATAAGAACAAACAATGACAGCTATAACTTATTGATTGCTTACTACGCGCTGGGCATTTTGTATGGGGTGATTCTCTGAATGGCAGCAACAATGCTTTGAGACAGTTATATTTTTATTCCCATTATAGAGATGAGGAAACTGAGGTCCACAGAGGTATCGTCACTAGGACAATCAACAGCAAAACCCAAATGCTAACCCAGGCCTCGGGCCAGCCCTGGTCAGAAACCTTCAATGACCACTGACCTTCCATTCCATGAAAAGTTAGCTCTGACTGTTCAGATGAACGCTACCAGAAAAATCATCCTCGGCTGGGCACGGTGGCTCACGCCTGTAATCCCAGCACTTTGGGAAGTTGAGGCAGGCGGATCACTTGAGGTCAGGAGTTCGAGACCAGCCTGGCCAACACAGTGAAATCCCATCTCTACTAAAAATACAAAAATTAGCCAGGCGTGGTGGCGCGTACCTGTAGTCCCAGCTATTCGGGAGGCTGAGGCAGGAGAATTGCTTGAGCCTGGAAGGTAGAGGCTGCAGTGAGCCAAGATCACACCAGTGTACTCCAGCCTGGGTGAAAGAGTGAGACTCCGCTAAAAAAAAATCATCCTTGTCTTCAAAATGAAAACTGCAACTAGGAAGCCCCAGCCACCCCTTGGTCCCGGTGGTACCTGTCTTTTGCAGAGATGGCTGCAGGGGGGAAAAGTGGGGGCAATTTTATTTGATTTTTCATGATGTTTGCTTTTGGGGTCTCAGGCTCTCAACAAGGTTTAGCTTGTGCCAAGTAAACGCGGGCCCTGCTCCCAAGTAGGCACGGAAAACATTTTGGATGCATAAGCCACAGGGGTGCTGGCATGCCAGAGGGCACAGAGATAAGACATCCTGAAGGAGCCCAGCACGGGGAAGACCCAAAACTCTAGAACAGTGGTTCTCAAGCAGGGGTGATTTTGTCCTCTGGGGGACATTTGGCTATGTCTAAAGATATATTTGATAGTCACAACTAGGGGTGTACTACTGGCGTCTAGTGGGTGGAGGCTGGAGATGTTGCTAAACATCTTACAAGGCACAGGACGACCCTGCAATGAGAAATTTTCCAGTCCAAAATGCCCTTCATGTGCGAGGTTGAGAAAACTGGATCTCAAAGGACCTGCAGGCATTTCCTCCGGTGAACAGACTGGAGGAATTGGGGAATGAATGGGAGAGGAGTTCAGATCTGTGTGGGCCAAGGAAGTCACATGTGAACAAGTTTCAGCCCAACAAAGGAAAGCAGCCCTGATGGTCAGGAGCCCTGTCCCCAAAGGTGGCCCAGCATATACTGGTGACCTGATAGATCCTGTGGAGGGAAAATAGAGCCTGGAGTGGGGGTTGGACACAACAACCTTTTTTTCCCCATCCAAACCTGGCACTGAATAAAGTCCCCAGGACAAGAGCAATGATGTTTGGGGTTCCTTCCAGAATCTTCCATGGATTAGTTCATTTAATCCTGCCCACAGCCCCATGACATGGGCACTGTGGTTATCCTTATGTAATAGAAGAGGAAACTGAGGCTTCAAGAGGTAAAAGTCACTTGCTTAAGGTTACAAAGATGGCAGGTAGGGAAGTCAGGACTGGAGCCTGAGTCTCCCCGATCCCCAAGCTCATTAGGAAGATATTCCTCACACTGGGCATGGTGGCTCACACCTGTAATCTCAGCACTTTTGGGAGGCCAAGGCATGAGGATTGCTCGAGGCCAGGAGTTCAAGACCAGCCTGGGCAATATAGTGAGACCCTGTTTCTACAAAATTAAAAAAAAAATTAGGTGTGGTGCACACCTGTGTTCCCAGGTACTCAAGAGGCTGAGGCAGGAGGATTGCTTAAGCCCAGGAGTTTGAGGATGCAGTGAGCTGTGATCGCATCACTGTATTGCAGCCTGGGCAACAGAGTGAAACAACTCTGTCTCTCAAAAAAAAAAAAAAAAAAAAAAAAAGAAGAAGAAGAAGAAGAGACTCCTCAAACCCCATCAGTTCTCCCCCCAATCTAGGGAAAAGCACCCACTGCCTTCCCGCCCCTGCCACCTAATGCCTTGATTTAGAGACAGAGGTAGGAGATCTGGACCCAACATTCAAGACCTAAGTTCAACAGTTCAGCCGTCTCTCATGTTAAAGACACAAAAACATGTACAATAAGCTGCCCAGATCCCCGCTTACTTTTTTTTTTTAAACAAAAACATTGCAACCGGCGGTGAAAAAGACATTGTCTTGAACATACACTTTAACTGATGTCTCCGACCATTCAGTAACATGGATAAAAGAAAACTTGCTTTATTAATAGGCCCTCATGCTAATTAGCACAATTTATTGCCAGGGAGGCAGTCCCTACCTTCTGCAAATGTTATGAGTGTAGACAAAAAAACTTTTGTTGAGAACCCAACACGATATTGCCGCGTGACCAAGCCTGCCACAAAGAGATGGGAAAAGCACACAGCTTAGAGAGGCCACTCAAAGGCATGGGGTGCTGCTCTATAAATTTATGATGTCACTTGACCATTTCCCAGTAATCAGAAAGCCCCAAATTTAAATGTCGGCTGGTTTCTGCCCATAAATATGTGTTTCTCACCACTTTGAGGAAGGTTCCCTAATGACTATGAAGCTTTGTGGAAAAGTGTAAAAAAAAAAAAAAAAAAAAGGTGTGGGTGGGGAGGGGGTTGGTAAAAAAAACCTTAAATGTTTAATATTCAATAAATGTGTCAATTTTACATACAGAGGCAAATGGGTCTTTACTGAGGAATTGGTAAATTTCCTCGGAGAAAAGTAAGTGCATTTTAGCCTTCAAGGAGTCCCAGATGAATAGAAATGGAATGTGATTTGTGATAAAACTCAGCTGCTCTATAAAAGACGTTAAATAAATGTTGCTGTTTCACCAGGGATGTACAAAATTGATTGCATTATAGACTGATTCTAAGATGCTGCATCCCTGTACGGCCCCCTCTTCTGTGTGTGGGGGGGAGCTGCTTCCAGAGACAATTTAGACTGCATGGTGACTCCTCTTCCTCATGCTGTAGCAGAATTTTCTGGAATTGTAAGATTTCCTCTTTATATTTTGATTTCAGTTGAACCACAGGAAACTGCTGCTATTTGGCCATTTTTGACTTCTTCAAAACTGCAATTTCTTCTCTATCTGCTTAATATTTCCGGTGGCCTGATCATCATCCTGGGGAAGGCTGCTGATACCTCCAAAGAGAATTGTGGTTGCTGTCTAGGGTTCACGGGTGGTGATGTCCCTGTTCCCTTTGTCTGGTCACCAGAGGGCACCCCAGTCTGTAGAGGGAATCTTGCTTTTCCTTCAGCCCACCTTGGGGAGCTTGGGAGTATCCCGTGCCCTTTCTGAATCTCAGTTTTCCCCCTCTGCAAAATGGGCACAACTCCACCTTTCCTGCAGGGTATTTGGAAAACTGGATGTGGTAACCATTGCAGGTAAACTGTCCCGTGCTTTTGGCCAGCTAGTATAAGGTATTGTGTATCCAACTAGGGGCTGCATGTGACTCACATATGACACACACAGCCCTACCCTCAAGGAACTGCTAATGTCACGTCAACATAGGACAACTTCTTCAAGTGAGAAATTAGGGTTCACAGATTGAAGGGTGGAACCAAACTGATCAGGAAAACTTCCTGGAAAGCAGGAGCGTGGACTCATTCAGACACGTCCCGTGCCTCTCCATGCCTGCTGTCATCAGCCTGGTCTGGTCACTGCCAATTCCTGCCTGGATGCTTGCAGGGGCCTCCCTGGCTCCATGCAATTCTCTGCCATCTCACTTCCACCCTGGCAGCCAGACAGGGCATTTCAAGATGTAAACTGGATGTTGATACTTCCCTGCTTAAAACCTCCCCGGACTCCCCATTCCATTTCAGATCAAATCTGAACTCTCCAGCCCAGTCTGCAAGGCCTGTGTGGTCAGGGCCCTGCCTGCTTCTCTACAGCATTTCCTCCCACAGTCCTTGTGCTTTGCTCCACCCTCTGGCCCTTCATTTGGTTCCTGGAAACTGCCAAGCCCAAACCAGCCCCAGGACCTTTGTACGTGCAGTTTCCGCTACCTGAATGCCCTCTCCTCCCAATTCTTTGCCCAGTTCAGTGGTTCCCAAAGTCTCTGGCCCAGCAGGATCAGTGTCACCTGGGATCTTGTTAGAAATGCAAATTCTTGGACGGGCTCCAGACCTACTGAATCAGAAACTCTGAGGGTAGAGCCTGGCGATTTTTTTCAAGGAAATTTCAGGTGATTTAAATGCATGCTCAAGTCTGAAAATCAATGGCCTAACTCAGGCCTACCCCTCAGCCAAGTTGCAGCTTAAACATTACTTCCAGCAGACCAACACCCCAACATGAGGCCAGTTTCCTGCTGTCGTGAGCCCCTGCTGCTGCCTCCTCACCTCTATGAAGCACTATGGCAACTGTGATGTCATCAGGAACTATTTCAAGTCTGTGCCTCTTCATAGCTAGACTAAAAGCTCCAGGAGGGCAGGTACCCCTGTGCGCCCAGCACCTCATCGTGCCTAGAAGAGAGTAGGTGCCCCGGAACTATATGTTGCATGAGCACATGAATGAATGCTCAAATGAACAAATGAATGAGTTCTGGAAGAATGACAGTGTTCATAAAGAAAGTGCCCCCTGGCATCCTATTTTCCATCCACCAGCCCACAGATCAACCCTGTCCCCGTCCCCATTTGACTTTCTGAGTATCACCCTGGTCAAGTCAGGAGCCAATCACAGCAATGTATGGGAATGACCATCAAATTAGAACAACAAGAACATCAACCAAAGAACCAGCCAAGGGGAGACTCCCACGCAGTAGATGCCCAGCTCAGGGTCTAAGCCTGAACATCCCTCAAGAAGAACAACAAACCTCTCTCTCCCTGACAGCAACTGGCTGTGCAGACAGCTTCCAGATAAAAACCTAGAGACCAAAAATTTGCAGGCAAGAAGTCTGCCCATCAGCTTGGAAGATTCCAGTCCCGCACTCACCCAAGTCTTCTGGCTGAGAGGCTGAGGCTGCCTCGAACTAAGCCCCGAGTTTATTGGAAGCTTCTCGATGCTGCACGGCAGTTTGCTCAGCTCTTGGAGCTAAAGCTGGAAGGGAAATCATTTCTTTTCCTATAACTCAGAGCAGTTATATTCTCTTAGTGTGGACATCTGGCTCACTGCTGATCTCCTTACTTACGTTTTCCAAACGATATCAGTTCTGGGAAGATCAATTATTACTGAAAAGTCGAGAAACGTTCACTGGTTATTTGCATTGATTTGGTTGACAAGACACAGACTCCTTTTAAACTACAGATGTCCATGGAAGGGACAGAGAGGAGAAAAACACAAGAACCCCAGACAGCTCGAGGTTCGGAGCCTCCACCCAGCTGCAGGAACTGCACAGAGTGGAAAGCGCTGGCTGGGATGGGGACACTGAACCACCCTCCCGGAGTCCCCCAGATAGAGCCATTTCCATCAAGACAAACAGGTAGCCAGTGTTGGCCAGCACCACAAGCAGCCACGATGATATAATTTGTTCGTTACTGCATCATCTTTAATCAATAGGATCTGGAGTTTCTACAGCTTGGACAGCCCAAATCTCTCTGGCAGCCAAGAACCAGCGGGTTGTTAAAAGGCCCGATAGTTCTGCCTCGCTAATGGGTGGCTGGTTCCCTCAACCCTGCTGATTTTTTAAATAAACCTAAATTCCAATAATTGTTTAATGTTTATTTTTATTTAGTTCTGGTTCAGATGCTCTGCGTCTCTCTGACAGAAATTGATATCTGGCTCCTGGTGAGCTTTATTAAAAAACAGGCAAACACACATGCACATACACACACAAACACACACACAGAGGCACATGCACACACAAAGGCACATGCACACACACACACAAGCATATGCACACGCAGAGACATGCATACGCACAGGTGCATGCACACACGTGTGCACATGCACATGTATACGCAGGCACAGGTACACACAGGCATATGCACACACATGCGCACACACAGGCACATGCACACACACACAGGTGCATGCACATGCACGCACACACACGCACGTGTACACAGGCACAGGCACACGCACACACAGAGAGTGCATATGCTGCCTGCCCATTGGGAAATGGGTTATTTATTTGGTACAGGTAAGGCCCAGGACCCACATATCTGGATGGGAGAAGACAGAGGGCCAATTTCCCAAGCTCTGCCTTCTCTCCGGCTCCTTCCCCGGGAGGCGAAAAGGGACCCTGCCATTCTTTCACCAGGGAGCCCTGTTCTCAGCTCAGGCACTGGACAAAGGTGACACTGAGCCCCTAATTATGGCCTGCAAACCCCTTCAGCATCACTGTGGCCACAGGCTGGGATGACTCCTCAGAGAGGGCACTCTGGGCTTTTCCGTCCCATAGCCCCAGATGTGTCAGGTGGCTGTGCTCCGGAGACCCACTGAGCCACTAGCCATCTGCGTGCACAGGGACACGGGACCGGGGTTTCCCCACAAGCCATGGAAACAAGGAAGCAAGATGTCTCCGGGCTGCTTGCATTGGGTCAGAGAGAGACCCACTCCCACTGGTGCATAAGAAACCCCTCTCGTCTGTCCTTCTGGCCGGTCTCAGAAAAGCCGCAGTGAGTCTGGGTATTAAGGGGAGGTTTTTGGTGCTCTCAGCAGGCTGCACAATGCACTAAGGGGCTCAGGTGTTCACTGGCAAAATCACTGCAAACTGATGACCTGCAGATCGGGCTTGCCAACAAGGTCAAGGTGTGTGTGAAGGTCAAACTCGAGGCTTTCCTTCCATACTCTGCACCCCGTCCATCAGACTGGGGGTTGCCCAACTTCTCCATCTCTGTCACCCCCAAGTGGAATCAGCCACTGACACCTGCTGGGATGACTCCAGGTGTTACCAGCACCTATTCTCTCCTTGGATGCCAACGCCACTCTGGGTCACAGCCCAAGAGGCATCACCAGGGCAACCAGAACACCTTGCTGGACCCTACCTGGCGCTTCCCCACTCCCCTCCCATTCCCATGCACCTTGACCAGAATTGCCGATGCCAGACATGGGCCCGGTCCATCCCTCCTTAATCTCTCCCGCTTCCCAGGAGACACTCCCATGGCTTCCACATGCTTATTCCCTCCACCTCGGCCTTCCTACCACGCTGGGCCCGAGGTCAGGGACCCAGCCACGGAGAGGAACAACCTGCTATTTTCATCTTTCCAACACACCACACATAAGAGGAAGTGATGTCAAAGTTCCTCTTTCTGTCGGAGAATGGGGAAGACTGGAATCATTGAGCAGTTTCTGCAGCAAGTGGAGAGGATGTTGAAAAGAACCCAGGCTTTGTCATCAGAAGAACTGGGTTTCAGGAGGCAGGGGTTGCAGTGAGCTGAGATCGTGCCACTGCATTCCAGCCTGGGTGACAGAGTGACACACCGTCTCAAAAAAAAAAAAAAAAAAAAAAAAAAGAAGAGCTGGGGGTGTGCATCCAGCTTCAGTCACTTCCTAGCTGTGTATCCTGGGCACATCACCCTATCCTGTGATCCACGGTGGGGGCAGTTTTTTTTTTTTTCTTTCTTTCTTTGAGACGGAGCTTTGCTCTTGTTGCCCAGGCTGGAGTGCAATGGCATGATCTTGGCTTACCACAACCTCTGCCTCCCAGGTTCAAGTGATTCTCCTGCCTCAACTTCCCGAGTAGCTGGGATTACAGGCATGTGCCACCACTCCCGGCTAATTTTGCATTTTTAGTAGAGAAGGGGTTTCTCCATATTGGTCAGGCTGGTCTTGAACTCCCGACCTCAGGTGATCTGCCTCCCAAAGTGCTGGGATTACAGGCGTGAGCCACCACGCCTGGCCAGTTATTGTTCTTAATACTCTCATCCTGGGAGACTCAGGACGAATGCTCAAGTGCAATCCCTTACTGCTGCATAGGGGCTGTTACTGTTGGCACCCCAATTCTTGGAGGCAGTTTCCTTAAATTCTTCCCCCTAGTACCTTGCATGGGGCATCCAGTGGCCCTGTTTGCACAGGGAATTTGCTTCCATCCACAGCTGCCACACACAATCTCTAGCGGGCTCCCTGCTGTCCACATATGGCCCATAGTCATTCCCTGCCACCCTCATGCCCTCTGGACCACCCTGGCCTGCCACCAGCCACCCCAGCAGAACCACGTCTCTGTGTGTAATCGACTCTAATAATTGTCCCAATACATAAGGCGTGTACTCAGGGTCTATTATCAGCTAATGAGTAAATAATATTCTGTTCTAAATCCAAAAGCGCTATTAGATACCAGAGGGGGACTAATGGGCGTTTTAAGACCCCTTTAATCACATATTAACGTGACGCGAAGCAGGCTGCGGAGCCCATATGCCAACCACCCTGCCACTGAGGAGGCTTTTTCCTCTTTAAAAGAACAAAGTCAGGGAGAGAGCCAGCCCTCCATCCTCAGGGCTGGTTAGGCAGCCAGGCCGACCCGCTGAGGGTGGAAGAATGTCCCTGATCCGATTGGCTATCTTTGAATAAAACGAGTATGGTTGTGGCCATCCCTGCTTTTCTGGGGCATGGTGGGGAAAGGGGGTTCTGTTCCTACGGACGCTGTGATGAATTACCACCAACTAGGGGAGTTTAAAACAACAGGAATGTCTTCTCTCCCGCTTCTGGAGGCTGGAAGTCTGAAATCAAGGTGTGGGCTGGCAGGGCTGCGCTCACTCTGCAGGCTCCAGGGGAGGGTCCTTCCTCGCCACCTCCAGCTGCTGGTGGTCGCGGCCATCCTTGGTGTTGCTGGGCTTGTGGCATCGCTCCCATCCCTGCCTCTGTCATCACATGACTTTCTCCCTGAGTGTCCCTGTCTTCATGTGGCCTTTTGACAAGTACAATCAGTCATTAGATTTAGGGCCCACCCTACTCTAGTATGGCCTCATCTTAACTGATTTCACCTGCAGAGACCCTGTTTCTAAATAAGGTCATACCCTGAGGTTCTAGGTGGACATGAATTTTGGCGGATGCCATTCAATGCAGGACAGAGGTGAGATGGAGGGGTAGTGATGACAGTGGGGGGAGGGGGCAGGCAGGGGGCTCTGATATGGACCTTCATACTCTGAGCGACTATAACATAGAGTTCCTGCCATCTTGCAACCCCCACCCGGCTGAGCATTCCACAAAAGTTCAAGCACCCGACCCAAATTCCTCCCACTGATCCATCATGTCCTATTAGCAACTTGCGTTTCTTATTAGCTACTTCCATCGACTCATATTAATATTTGTTTTCCCTAATACAATGCAGGAGTCTTCTCCGATTAGTAACTTTCATATCACATTAGTGGAAACAACTATGAATACAATACAATCCCAATATGACACAGTTTGATGGGGAGTCACTAACACAATGCGACTCTCCCCTGTGATGGCACAGGAATGTCGCTCTGTTGTCAGGCAGAGCTAGGGAACGTGGAAACAATCAGTCCCCAGCATGCTGAGCCACATGGGCCACCCTTGACCGACGGGACGAGGTTCTGGTGTGGTGGGAGGTCCTGCTTGGAAGGAACCAACTTAGTGCGTCTCTCCTTGTTTCCAAACACCCACCCATCAGATCAATAAGGATCATTCCAGCTATTCTCCAAAACTTCTGAGCAGCCCTGGAATCTGCAGGGGACAGGTGACAGGCAGAGAGAAGGGCTTGTGACATCTTCTGCAACCCAGATCTCCACAGCTCTACCTTTATCAGTGTGACAGGCAGGGCTGGTGTTGCCCAGGTTAATTCATCAAGGATGTGTGAACACAGCAGAGTTGGGGTGAGGTGAGGAGCCACAAACTGGGTTGCTGTCTGATGAGGCCTCAGGAAATGGGTTGGGGAGGAACGGCGCTGAGACGGTGCACATCTGTCAGGGCAGTTTAGAAAGACTTCACTCCAGCCAGCTTGGCTCCGGACTGGCTTGAGTTCAAATCTTATCACTGCCCTCTCTAGGTGATCTCTCTGTGCCTCAGTTTCCTCCTCTGTAAAATGGGGATAAAACAGGGCGTACCCTGAGCGCAGTGGCTCACAACTGTAATCCCAGCACTTTGGGAGGCAGAGGTGGGTGGTTAACTTGAGGTCAGGAGTTCGAGACCAGCCTGGCCAACATGGTGACACCCCTTCTCTACAAAAATACAAAAATTAGCTGGGCGTGGTGGCGTGTACCTGTAATTCCAGCTACTCAGAAGGCTGAGGCATGAGAATCACTTGAACTCAGGAAGCAGAGGTTGCAGTGAGCTAAGATCATGCCACTGCACTCCAGCCTGGGCAACAGAGCAAGACTCCATCTCAAAAAAGAAACAAACAAACAAACAAACAAACAAACAAACAAACCCAGGGCCAACCTAATAGGATTGTTAGGAGGATTAAATGAGATAGGAACAGAAAAAACTTAGAGCTTTGCATGGCATCTGACAACGTGGTAAATCTGCCTTAAGATGCAGCACAGGCTATGACTGCAAATCCTGAAGTGACTCGGTCCCTTCTACCATGGACGGGGGTCACCCCTCCTTGCCTTTCAAGTTCACCCACTTGTTCTGAGTGAGCTCTGGGCTAGGCATTACAGAAAAATAAAAAGTTGAGGATGAAACAGGCCCTCCCCCTCGAGAAGCCCATGGTCTACTTAGGGGCACAAGCTACAGAACCGAGAGGCAGGGGTCATATCACAAGAGGTTTTCGAGCCAAGTCAAGGAGTGTGAACTTTATCTCGATGGAAATAGGGAACAGTGGAAGAAGCAAAAGCCCCTAAGCTTCAGTGCAGGTGAAGGAAAGAAGGCCTGTGGGGACAGGGGATGGTGCTTCCCTTGGTGCCAAACCACCTGTCAGCTCAAGTCCTGGCAGAAAGAGAGGCCAAGGGATAGCAAGAGACAGAGACAGACAGGGGCAGGGAGGACAGTGCAGAAGCTGAGACTGTGAGCTTCTTGTGACAGTGCTGGCGCTCTCGCTCTCCCTGCCAGCCTGTCTAGGAGACTGGCAGAGCCCCCGCCCTGCCCTGCCACAATCCATTCCAAGCTATCCCAGGCAAGGTTGCCGAATAATTCCCACCGCCTCCAAACGGCACTCCACGTGGCAGCCAGCAGCCTGCTGCCAAGGGGCAAGTGGCCAAGATTCCCTTCCAACAGAGACATCCCCTCGCCAATCAGAATGCGGCCGGCACGCGTCCCAGAAAGTTGGACGGTTGCTGTTCGCCAAGCAGATGATGCCGTCAGGACTTCTCGGTCCTGGGCAGTGTCCGCTACCCCCGCCCAAGCCTCCCAGCAAGGAGGGTCCACTCTCAGGGACCAAACACCGGCCCCTTCCACGTTTAGCCTCTGCAGATCCTCCTGATGAAAGCACAGACTCTACAGTCAAAATGCGAGGGTTCAAAGCCTGGCCCCTCCATCAAGCAGCTGTGCAAACCAGAGCAAGTCACTTAACTTCTCTGAGCCTCGGGCTGTGTTCACAACATGGGGTTCATACCTCATAGAGTTGTTGGGTGGGTTAAATGAGAATATCTGCAGGAAGTGCTTTTCCAGTGCCTGGCACTTAGTCCATGCTCAATAAATGTTAGTTTGGGTATTACCATCTACGGTATGTCGTCTACTCAGAACTCAGCTAACTGATAATGTCAGCTTTCCAGAATGGAGCTAGGAGCCAGAGGGTTAGAAGAAAAGGCTTCCAAGCAGTTAAAATAAATGTCGCAGGCTGGGCGTAGTGGCTCACGCCTGTAATCCCAGTGCTTTGGGAAGCTAAGGCAGGAGAATCGCTTGAGGCCAGAAGATCAAGTCCAGCCTGGGCAACAATAGCGAGACTTCGTCTTTACAAAAAAATGAAAAAAGTTAGTCAGGTGTGATAGTGCACACCTATAGTCCCAGCTACTCAGGAGGCTGAGGCAGGAGGATCACTTGAGCCCAGGAGGTTGAGGCTGCAGTGAGCCGTGATCACACCACTGCACCCCAGCCTGGGTGACAGCGAGACACCCAGTCTATAAAAACAACAACAACAAAAAAGAGTCAAAGTGGACACACTGAAAGCGCAATCATGAAAACCATTTCATATTAGTAATATTAGAGTAACATGCTTAATATAATCGTAATTAGTAATCACCACCACCAAACACTGTGGATAGCAATTTAAATACGTCTTGGCATTTCACCAGTAGGATGCTGGTAAATGTTAAACAACCAGCTCTCTGGAGAAAAAGGACAAATTCTGATATTTACCATTTCCATGGTGTACATTTTCCCACCATGGTCAATTTCAAGCCCTGCTGTGATGTCACTACACGTGGAGCTGGGAGGCGATGCTTATAGCTGGTTCTCACCCACCAGCTCTGGTCACTGCTGCACGAACACTCTCCACATCCCAATGAGGTCAGTGCTATTTTTACCCCCATTTTGTAGACAAGGACAATGAGGCCCAGATACACATATTTCTTCACCCAGGGTCATACAGTGAGCAAGTGGCAGCAGCACCAGAATTTGAGTCCAGTTCTGTGTGGATTTTAAAGTTCATGTTCTCTGCACGTGGCCCAAATTCCCCGCCATGAGACAATAACACTGACCGTCTTGGTAGAGACAGACGACAGTCTGTGTCCACTCTCCACCAAACCCTTGCATCTTCTGTGCTTAACTCTGTTTGACAACTTCTGGAGGCCACTGCCTCAATGAGGTCACTCTGGTTTGGCTCTGAAGACGTCCTGCCATGTGGGTCACCATGGCCCTCCATGACCTTCCTACTTCTCTTTTCTCAGGGGGCAGAAAGATGCATCTCTTCCCTACCCAGAGAGCTAAACACCAAATGTTTTCCTAATAAAATGGCATATAGGATCATAGCCTCCACCCCATCCTTACCCGCATAAATAGCCCCTAGTCCCTTACGACACAGAGGCCCTTCTGACAGCATCTACAAAGTAGCTTAAGAAAAAAAGGGAATCCATTGCTCATATAATTGAACAGTGGAGTGGTGGCTTCAGGTATGGCTGGATCCAGCAGTTCAAATGCTATTCGCAGGGTTTGATTTCTGTCTCTTGGCTCTGCTTCCCTCTGATCTGTCCTCCTCCTCTCCCCCCCATGGCTGGCCCTAAAACTTTAATTTTCACACGAGTCACCTGGAGATCTTGTTAAAGTACAGATTCTGCTACAGGGGGTACAGGCAGGGACAAGTCTCTGTATTTCTAATGAGCAATTCAGTTCTACTGTGGACCACACTGTAACATCACACTGTTAGCAGTGAGGATGTGAATCCCCAACATTCACATCCCCAAATTGCTCATGGGACCCCTAACATTCCTCTGTGCCTCAAGGTTTCATAAACTCCCAAAGCAATTATTGCGTGACTTCTAACTACGAACACCTTGGGGGGCTGATCCAATTTGTGTGGATCCCTCATGCTCACTTTCTGTTATTGTCTTTTGCTTGTTCTCTTTTTTTTTCTTTTTTATTTTTTTGAGATGGAGTCTCACTCTGTTGCCCAGGCTGGAGGGCAATAGCACAATCTCTGCTCACTGCAACCTCCACCTCCCAGATTCAAGTGATTCTCCTGCCTCAGCCTCCCAAGTAGCTGGGATTACAAGCACGTGCCACCACGCCCAGCTAATTTTTGTATTTTTAGTAGAGACGGGGTTTCACCATGTTGGCCAGGCTGGTCTCAAACTCCTGACCTCAAGTAATCCACCCGCCTCAGCCTCCCAAAGTGCTGGGATTACAGGCATGAGCCACCATGTCCCGCCCCTGTTCTAACTCCTACTCAACAAACACCAAGTGTCCCCTCAATACCAGGCCTGGAAGGGTGCTGGGAATATGGGAAGCCCTAATCTCAGCCTCAGGGAGCTGACAATTCCCTCCATTTTGCAGGAAAACCCCCAGAGAGTCTGTGAGTTCAGTTTCCAGGTAGTATTATAATAACAGCATATGCTTAGACAGTACTTACTACATGCCAGGGACTGTTCTAAGTGCTATAGAGATATTAATCCATTTAATCTTTTTAACTCACCCTATGCCCTAGGTCCAATGATTAGCCCCATTTGACAGATGAAGGGATTAAGGTTCATGGAGACAAAGTCACCTGCTCAAGGTTATACAACCTTGAAAAGAAAAGAGAAATGATTTAAACTCCTAGAGGAAAAGTAGGTGTGGGGCATGGTTCTATGTTGGGGACTAAGGAACGCCCCTGGGTAACTTGACCCCTGGCAAGCATGGGTGGGCGTGAGTCAGCAGAAATAAGTGGGCAAGTGACTCCTCCTGGCTGGATTCAGGGGGATGAAGGAGAAGAGTCCTGTATTATTTGGCACTCTTCAAGTTGTAAGCAGCAGCAGCCTAATGCAAAGTGGCTTAAGCATAAAAAGGAAACTGCTGCTTATATAGCCAAACGGTGCCAAGGTAGTTTCAGGTATGGCTGGATCCAGCAGTTCAAACAACCTTGGCAGGGTTTGATCTCTTTCTGTTGGATCTGACCCCCTGTGAGCTGTCCTTCTTCTCTCTTACCATGGCTGGCTTCCTCCAGGAATGGAGGGACAATGGCTGCTGACAGCCCTAGGGTTACATCCTCCCGCAGGTAAAAACACTTTTCTCCCCCAGGCTCATATATAAGTCACAGCGAAGTTTTACTGGAGCACAACCACATCTATTCATTGAGGTACTGTCCACCGTCACTATTCGGTTACAATGGTTGAGTCATTGCAACACAGACCATGCGGCCTGTAAAGCAGAAAATATTTACTGTCTGGCCATTTGCAGAAAAACCTATTTTAGACAGCAATGCCGTCAATAATACTTAACTAACAGCCTCCAAGTGAGTACTATATGCCAGATATAGTTCTAAGCATTTGTTTGCTTCTTACAACAATTCTATGAGGTGGGTAAACTGAGGCATGAAGAGGTTAGGAGTGGTCAAGCTCAAGGTCAGGCAGCCAGTCAGCAGCAGAGCTGAGATTCGAATTCAGCAGCTTGACCCCAAATTCCTTTTTTTTTTTTTTTTTGAGACAGAGTCTTGCTCTGTTACCCAGGCTGGAGTGCAGTGGTAGGATCTCGGCTCACTGCAAACTCGGCCTCCCAGGTTCAAGCGATTCTCCTGCCTCAGCCTCCCGAGCAGCTGGGATTACAGGCACCTGCCATCATGCCTGGCTAGGTTTTGTATTTTTATTAGAGATGGGGTTTCACCATGTTGGCCAGGCTGGTATCGAACTCCTGACCTCAGGTGATCTGCCTGCCTTGGCCTCCCAAAGTGCTGGGATTACAGGCGTGAGCCACCACACCTGGCCCTTACCCCAAATTCTATGCTCTTCGTCTCTCTGCTAATCAAGCAAGGGTCTTCTGGAAGCTTCAGTAGGTAGGTGTCTAAATTAGGGTGTGAGTTTCCAATTATGGGTTCAAGAAACATACACGCACTTGCTAAAACAAGTAGTCAATTACCCACAGAGCTTCCTCTGCTTGTGAGCTGTTCAGCACTGTCCCATCATCGCTGTGATGGAGAGAGCTGTCCCAGTGAGCCATTGAGTTCTTCCTGGACAGGGTGGCTCAAGCCCCCAAAGTGGGCCAAGGCCGCACATCCCAGCAGTGGGGCTTCAATACAGCTGCAATCCAACATGGGCTTTAGCCCACCCACCAGGGCTCCATGCACAGGCTCCCGTGATAAGCCTGCTTCTCTTGCAACAGGATCTCACCAGCTCTGGTCCCAGAGCTCTGAGAAGCCCACAGCTCCAAGGACGAAACCCCACCTCCCACCCGTGGCAGTCACTGGAATACTTTGGGCTGGGGTAGGGGAACAGAGACTTTCACTTCCAGTGGAGGAAGGCAGGGGCTGGTGGCCAGGGGCAGTTCTCACCTCTGAGAGAGAGTTCAGGGCTTCACACCAGGCCCGGCAATGCCGCTTACTAGTGGTGCGACTCTAAGCAAAGCATTTTCTCTCTCTGGGCCTCAGCTTTCCCCCTCTGTAAAATGGGCATAACAGTAACGCCCCTGCTGAAGTGACTTTAAGAAATGACATCCTGTCCAGGTGCGGTGGCTCATGCCTGTAATCCCAGTGCTTTGGGAGGCCAAGGCAGGAGGATCGCTTGAGCCCAGGAGTTCGAGACCACATTGGGCAACATGGGGATACCCTGTCTCTACAGAAAAATACAAAAATCAGCCGGGTATGTTTGCGCATGCCTGTAGTCCCAGCTACTTGAGAGGCTGAAGTGGGAGGACTGCTTGAGCCTGGAAGGTTGAGGCTACAGTGAGCTGTGATCGTGCCACTGCACTCCAGCCTGGGTGACACAGTGAGACCCTGTCTCAAGAAAACAAAAAAAGAAAAGAAATGGCATCCAGCGACACTCAGCATAGAGTGTGAGAGCTAAGAGAACGGGTTTTGCAGTTGAACTGCCCTGTTTCAGTCCTGTCTACACCATACTGCTGTGCAACTACTATTTTGCTGAACCTCAGTTTCCTCATCTGTACAATGAGAGTAATTGTAGAACTTTCCTCTTGGGGTTGTTGTGAGGATTAACTGAGCCAATAGGTAGTCAGGGCGGACACACAGTAAAATACTCAACATTAGCTGTTAGGATTACCATCAACCAAGGCATGCAAGAGAGTGTTTCAGTAACAAAGTGTGTCCTTATTTTCTGAGATAAGCGTGACATGAACCACTCTGGGAAGCTGGTCCCAGCCTCCAGGGAGGTGACCCAGTGTTCTGAGGCCTCAATGCTGGGGGAACCAACCTCATGATCCCCCAGCCCTATGGAGCCCTGCTGCTGTGATTCTGGTTCATTTTGGGCTGAGTCCCCAGAGGGTGCATCCCTTTAATGGGTGTTGCCCATCAGAGCCCAGGGGCTGTGCTGAGACAGCTGATGGGGATAAAGTGGCCATGCTTAAGTACCCTTCCAGTGATCCAGGGCTCTGGCTCAGAGCCCAGGGCAGCCAGGCAAGGGCTGGCCCTTTGAGCCAAGGAGACACAGTCTGCCCCGTCTGTGGTCAAGCCCAGGGCTCACCTCCAGCCCCCAGGTCTCTGAGCTCCACCACCCACCCACTGCGGACCTGATAACCCCTCTGGGAGACCATGGGCATCTCAGGTTTCAAACCCATAGCCAAAAGGGAACTCTGCACTCTCACGTCCCATCTGCTCCCGCTATTCCTCCCTGCATCTTCCCCATGGCAGGAAGCGGCACGGAGTCCACCCAGCTGTTCAGGCCAGGAGCCCGGGAGTCATCTTCATTCATTCCATCCCGACACATTACATCATCACCGCAAGCCCCATCAGCCCCACTCCTAAGGCCAAGTCCAAGCCATCTTCTGTCACCAAGCCTCCTCCTCCAGGCCACCGCCTGCCCCCCACGGTGCTGTTCCAGAGGAATCCCCTGAAAATGCCACTGGACTGCGTCACTCCTCTGCATAGCCCTCCATTGGCTCCCTGGACATGGAGACAAAAACCCAGGCCCCTTCGTGTGGCCAAGGAGACCTCCACAGCCAAGTGCCACCCTGCTCCCTGCTCGCATCTCGCGCCCCCTCTGTGCCGGGTCACGCGAGTTCTTGGACCAGGAAGGGCCCTCCCTGACACACTGCACGTGTGCACATGCAGACACACAGGCACAGAGATGAAGGCTCAGACACACTCACACACACCCTGCACTACACACACGTCCCGAATACGCCCAGATGCCCGCACACACATGCTTGCCCATACACACTCTGACACGCACCCTGCACACACAGGCCAGACACACCTATCTCTGACTGGTCTGATTCCTCAGCCTTAGGGGGTCCATTTAATAGCCCTCCAAACCATGGCATGCTGTTTCTTTGCAGAATCACAATTTGTAATTCTTCTATCACAACTTGTTGACATGCTTAGCAAATGTCCCCCTAGCCCCGTCCTATGCTGCCTGTCCCAGGAGACATTCTTCTGTTCATTGCTGTATTCCCAGCGCCCAGCACCCAGCAGGAGCTCAATGAATATTGAAGGAAAGAAGGAATCATCCCCTAACTCCTTTTGCTTTTTTTGTAGTTGTTGTTTTGTTTTGTTTTTAAGATAGTCTCACTTTGTCGCCCAGGCTGGAGTGCAGTGGTACAATCTCGGCTCACTGAAACCTCTGCCTCCCGGGTTCAAGCGATTCTCCTGCCTCAGCCTCCAGAGAAGCTGAGATTACAGGTGTGCATCACCCTCCCTGGCTAATTTTTGTATTTTTAGTAGAGATGGGGTTTCACCATGTTGGCCAGGCTGGTCTCAAACTCCTGACCTCAGGTGATCCACCCGCCTTGGCCTCCCAAAGTGCTGGGATTACAGGCGTGACCCACTGCGCCTGGCCTCCTTTTCTGTTTTTAAATAGGGCTGCACTTGCATGCTTGCCTATGGGTCAAAATGTCCTGAGAAAACAAATAAGAAGTATGTGAATAGCCGGAAGGGGGCTGGAAGTTCAGGAGACTCATTGTTTATTCTGAAATCATTTTTAATGTCTTGATTTTTAAAAATTACAGATCAGTTGCTTATGAAATAATGCATCCTTAAAAAATTAATATTTTTAAATGAGCTACCCAAAAATGTTCTCAAACTGGTCCAGCTTCAGAACCCTTGGGAAGTATTTCTAAAATCCTTGCAGGTGGCTGGGCTCAGTAGCTCATGCCTGTAATTCCAGCACTTTGGGAGGCCAAGGCAGGAGCATTGCTTGGGGTCAGGAGGTCAAGACCAGTCTGGGTAATGTAGTGAGACCCCTCTCTCTAGGAAAAAAAAAAAAAACAGCTGGGCATGGTGGCGCACACCTGTAATCTCAGCTACCTTTGAAGGTTGAGGTAGGCGGGATGACTTGAGCCCAGGTGGCTGGGGTTGCAGCGAGCTACGATCGCGCCACCGCATTCCAGCCTGGGTAACAGAGCAAGACCCTGTTTCCAGCAACAACAACAACAACAACAAAATCCTGGCAGGAGAAGCTGGGTTGGGCTCTCAGGTGGGTACTATCAACACCTGTCTGAGTGGGATGAGGGATCGGAACACCAGCTGGGCTTGAGAAATGGGGGTCCACACAGCCCCTTCCCAGGCCTGAGGGACAGCACCTTGCTCCCATTTCCTGCGCCCCTCTGTGTTCACGACCAGCCTGTCTGTCCATGAAGGAAATAAGTTTTTCTGTGGCTGAGTGTTGTTCCCAAGGCCACACTGCTGCTGTTACATCCAAGAGTACATGGGCAGAGACTGGCTCATGATTTGACAGCTTTTTTCTAGACCCTTCCCAGGAAGGGAAGCTGGGCTGACCGGGCCAAAAATCACAGACTGCCCTCGTATCTTTTTTTTTCTTTAAGTAGAAAGTTTTAATTACATTTATAGCCCTATTCAATATAATAATCTCACAACATTTCCCTTCTCCTAAAGGATTTTTTTGTTTTGTTTTAAATCGTGTAAAACATGCAGGGTCCCCAGGCTGCTGTCACCCATCTTCATGCAGATGCTCCGGGCTTTCAAAACAGCTGTTCCTCCCCAGAGTCCCATTCCCTTCCCCAGCCCAGGCTATCTTTGCACTGCCCACTCACACAATGGCATACTTTCTCCAAGTGTCTGATCATGGCTGAGCTTTTTTTTTTTTTTTTAATAAAAATTAATTCTTTTTTTTTTTTGGTAGAGACTGGGTCTCACTTTGTTGCCCAGGCTGACCTCAAACTCCTGGCTTCAAGAGATCCTCCCACTTTGGCCTCCCAAAGTGCTGGGATTATAGGCATGAGCCACCGCACTTGAGCTCATTCTTCTTAAAAGATGGGGATTGACAGAAAACAACAACAAAAAATCAAAGGTGCTTCCAGTAGGTCATTTGCTATTTGCTCTCCACACCCCACCCATCCTTACCAGGTCCTTCCTGTTTGTGAGGTGAGGAAGAGAGGGGGAAGGGGACTATCCCTGATCCTCCGTTTTCACCTGACATAATTGAAAACTGTTTTTCTATTATCCGTTCCATCGTTGGCCTCCTGCCTTGCCTCTTTTCTTTGAACCTTCCTGATTGCGTCTCTGTGGAATCACATTGGTCCTTTGCACATCTCTCCAGGGATTTGGTTTAATTTTTACATCTTCTGAGGGTCCCAGTTGCTTTACTGATTCCTAAACAATTTCAGGTGGAGACAACATGGCATTCATGTGGTCTCATGGATGTTGTGCTAATCCATGTCTTTGCTTAATGTCTGCAGGAATGGCCAGTGAACATTCCTCTTCAAATACATCTCCTGGAATATCTGTAGCTGTTGCTAAAGCTATACACTACTATCCCTAAGTGATTCTTCATCTTCCCCACTCCCTCTCATCAACCTAAGAATGACTTATGAGGCAGAGATAACAAATATGTAGCATGTGCATGCTCACTGCCACCTCCCGTGTCCATGGTAGACATTACTAATGGATCACCAACTCCTATGCTGCAATCCAAACCATCGATGAATTTGGTCAACTGGACTTTTCATGTAAAGCCCAAATCAAATAAATTCTTATCCATCACCCATCCTCACCTGCAATAACCTTGAACCTGGCCTTTTGGCATCTCTTCCTTCCTCCTTTCCATTGATTCTCTATACACAACCTAGAGTGATTTTTTTTTTAAAGCTGTAATCTTTGAAACATAAACCAGATCCTAGCACTTCCCCAAGGAAAATCCTCCCATAGCTTCTCAATGCATTCAGAATAAGATGCCAACTCTATCCTGTGCTTGAGTTTTGCATGAGCTGGTCTTTTAGTATCTATTACCAGCCTCTCCCAACTAGTGCCTGGCACATAGTAAGTGCTCCAAAATGTTTATAGATTGAATGAGGCTCTCTTTTGCTGATCTAGAATGCAGTCTAAGAATCCTTGTCAACGCAGAGCTCCAGGAAGCTGCCAGTGAATTCTCAGGGTTAGCATGCAAAATGCAGCCTCCCTCAAAGTCTGTTCTGATACTGGGCGATTCTACCCATCTCTGACTATTTGGGAATGAAGCAGTGTGCAAAAAAATCAGTGTAGCCCCCTTGATCAGCTTATTTTCTTTCATAATATGTACAAAGTGTTTTACTCCTGTTTTTTGTTTCTGTTTCTGTTTTTTTTTTTTTTTTTTTTTTTTGAGAGAAGTTTTGCTCTTATTGCCCAGGCTGGAGTGCAGTGGCACAATCTTGGCTCACTGCAGTCTCCGTCTCCTGGATTCAAGCAATTCTCCTGCCTCAGCTTCCCAAGTAGCTGGGATTACAGGGATTACAGGCATGCGCCACCACTCCTGGCTAATTTTGTATTTTTAGTAGAGATGGGGTCTCACCATTTTGGTCAGGCTGGTCTGGAACTCCTGATCTCAAGTGATCCACCTGCCTCAGCCTCCCAAAGTGCTGGGATTACAGGCGTGAGCCACCGCACTCGGCTTTGTTTACTTTTTGTAGTGGAAAATGGTTTGCTAAGGTTGTGCTTTGGGCTCACCAGGCTGCTGAATGGGGTTCCTCAGCTTTGGGCATCTGGTGGCAGGGACCTTCAGGAGTCTTTCCCATGTTTGGACCAGTGCATCAGTGAGGCTGTCACTGCAGAGAAAGACGCTAGGGGTCAGGTGATGGACTGCTGCTTCTTTAGAGCATCACCTTCATGACTGGCTGAGTCACCAGGATGGCTGAAAAACAGGTTCTAGAAAATCAAACATTCTGGAAAGCCCTGGAGGAACCACTGGGAGACAGAGAAAATATTCCGAAATAAGGAGTTTAGAATGGGGATAGTCTCTGAGCCTGCTAACTGGTTTCCTGGGGAACAGGGATGAGGGCAGGAAGAAAAGGGGAACATCTTAGAGCAAAAGGGGAACATTCCTGGTGCTTCCATCAGGTTTCTTGGGAAGCAGGGATGAGGGCAGGAGGGAAAGGATACAGAGCAAGGGAAGAGTAATTAGTGCTATTAATTACATCTCAATCACAGCCTACGTTTCTGCCCCGGGATTAAAGAAACATTCATTTGGAACGACTATTAAAGTCTTAAACTCAATGCTTCACAAATCAGGGCGGTGGAATGAAAATTCTTTCTCTGTAGGGACCAGGAGGCAGAAAGCAAGAATTTTCTATCCAGGTTGCTGCAGTCCAGCTGGAAAAGCCAGGGCTTGTGAGCGGGTTTGCTTGTTATTATTGTTGGCTGGTTTTTATTTTTATTTTTTTTTTTTATTTTTTAAGCTGTTTCAGGCAGGGATGTGTTCCAAATGTACAATCTAATGTGCTATAAAAGTCACTAATGTGATTATACTTTTATATCATATTAGAGAAAATGAATACTAATTCAATACCAAACGCTAATTCGGTAGAACCACAAAATGCTGAGAGGTTGCAAAACACTTGCCAGGCTGAACTTTCCGGCTGGTGCCTGAGAGCGTGTGGTGGCGTTTTCAGGAGTTGGTGTGTGCGGTTTAGTGAATCGGGCAGTCAGAGCTGTCCGGGTCTGCCATTCCCTCTGCAGTGGACAGAGGCTAGGGTGGTTTCCCTGGGAACATATGGGAGAAACCTCATCACCCTGGGAGAAGCTTTCCAATGCTCAGAGGAATTTTCCCAATGAAAATTTTGCAAAATTTTGCAATTTTCATTGGGAGTGCAAGTCTGTTTGGATTTTTAAACTAAGCATGTTGTTTGATGGCATCAGCAATGGGACAAGGTGCTTGTAAATCCAAGTAAAGCTTTTCAAAGAAAGAGCACTAAGAATCATGGCCCAGGAAGTAATATTAATGGCCAACATTTGCTGAACGTTTACTATGAGACAAGCACTGTTTTAAACTCTTTTTTTCCATTCATTCATTCAACCCTCAAGACTACTGTATGAACTAGAGACCCTTTTTGTACCCATTTGACAGATGAGGAAAATGGAGGCTCAGAGAGGTGAAGTGACTTGCTCAAGGTCACACAGCCAGTAAGGAACAGAGCTGGGATGCCAGGCCAGGTTGTCAGCTCCAGAGCTGCATCTTTAATCACTCAACTTAATTGAAGTCAGGCCCACTGACAATTATGTCTTACCTGTATTATCGCGTGTTAACCTGGAGGCAATCCTTAAGGTAGATATGTTCTTATTCCCATCATACAGATGAACAAATTGAGATTTGGAAGTATTGCCTGACTTGCCCCATAGCACCTACCACAGCAGCAGTGACAGAGCCAGGACTCACAACCGCTGTGCTACACAACTGCCCAAGTGCCCCAAAGCAAGGCTGTCATCCCCAAAGGAAGGTCCTCACATCTCTGGCCTCCCCAAACAGATGTCCAACATCCCACCCATTCTGGCTTCCCTGCTTTTTCATGGAGACTTTTGTCCTACCACTTCTGACCCGGGAGTCCACAGAAGAACAATTCAGGTCAGTTTCTGGAACAGTCCTTCCCTGGAGTCTCTCTTGCAAGACCGTTGCCTCTCTGATTCCCGCACAGCTCCATCTCCCAGGCACGAGGTCCCATTTTATTATCAAACATCAACTGCATCTCCCCGTCTTGGCCAGACACATCCAGAAATGCAGGGCCAGAATTATGACGTGCCGACTTGCCTTCATAAATAATATTTTGCAATTTCCTTGTCTGGGGGCATGGATAAATTATTCTTCCACGTCAAGGTTACGATGATCAAAAAGGTGGCCCGGCTGGCCTTCCTCGAGAGTGAGGAGGAAAAGAAGGCTCTGATTACATCGTGGCGCCAGGCTGAGGGAGGAGCCCTGTGGCCTGGGCTCCTGCCTGGTGGACTGCATGACAATCAGATTGCCGCAAACATGTGAACTCGGATCTGAAGTCTCGCTCCAGGAGGGATGCACACGTCAGGCACATCTGACTTTTGCATCATTCATGGGACTTAACAGAAAGAACATTCCAGTGACACTACATGTGGTGCTGCTTTCTTGTCCCCTTCACCGAGAGCCCCAGCGAGCCTGCTGCAATCACACAGGCTGGCTTTCTCTGTGGGGTGCTAAGAGCTGAACTGTGTTGCCACAAATCCATATGGGTGAAGTCCTAACCTCCAGAACTCAGGATGTGACCTTATTTGGAGACAGGGTCTTTTAACGAGGTAAAAAAGCTAAGATGAGCTCATTAGTGTGGTCCTCAATCCAGTATCGTTGGTGTCTTTGTAAAAAGGGGGAACTTGGGGCCCAGAAACACAGAAGAAATGAACGTGAAGGTGGTCATCTACAAGCCAAGGAGAGAGGCTTTAGAAGAAACCGCCGCTGCCGACCAACATCTTGATTTTGGACTGCTGGTCTCCGGAATCATGAGAAAACAAATCCTTGTTGTGTAAGCTACCCAGGTGTGGCACTTGGTCATGGCAGACCTAGCAAACGAATATACTGAGATACATTCCTGGGGTGAGGCCATCAGTAGTAAGTGATGCCAATTTGTGTTCTTAACTATATGTTTGCTTATGGTCTGTCTCCAGTAGAATAGAGGCTCCAAGAGGGCAGGTATAGTCATGTACCACATAATGACATTTTGCTCAGTGATGGATGGATATACAATGGTGGTTCCATTGTATAAGACTCTAGTATCATATTTTCATTGTACCTTTTCTATGTTTAGGGATGTTTAGATACTCAAATCCTTACCACAAGTTACAAGTGCCTAGGGTGTTCAGTGCAGTTGCATGATGTTCAGGTTTGTGGTCTAGGAGCAACAGTCCAGGTGTGTAGCAGGCTCTACTGTCTAGGTTTGTGTAAGAACACTCCATGATGTTCAACAGCAATGAAACTGACTAACAACGCATTTCTCAGAATGTATCCCGGTTGTCAAGTGATGCATGACTGTAAATCTGTCTTGGTCGCCACTATATCCCCAGCACCTAGAACAGTGCCTGGCTTATCATAATACGCTTATTGAATGAATAAATAAGTGAATAAATGAATGAATGCCAGGAAGAATGCCACGCATTCAGCAGGCGCCCAATAGCTTTCATACATTGCGGTTTGGAAGGATGGAAGCCAGAGATGCCTCTAAAACTAGAATCCAGGGGCCTTCCCCAGTGAGAATATCCCTGAACCTCGGGTGGCTTTCGGGATTCAGAGAAGAAAAAGCCAAAAAGAAAGGTTTGCTCCAGCTATAACCACCCCATCTCCACCACTGTTTTGCGGGGTTCCTGACCAGCAGAAATCACACCTCGCCTTTCCTGCATCTCCCATTTACAAGCCCAAAGCCACACTGTCCCTTCTCTCTTTGGTTCTGTTTCCCAGAAGGTGCCTTCTTTATGTTTCTGGAGATGCAGCAAGTGGCCTCACAGGCCCCATCTAGAGCGGCTTGTCCCCAGTCCCTGACTGCCAGATGGGAAGCTAACACCTCCTTCCCCCGTCCCCCACGCACATCCAAGGCTCCCGCAGCACCGCACCCCTGCCTGCCAAGGCGTTGCGAGTTCTACTGCCTCTAACATGCGTCTATTTTTCAGGCCCCAAGAGCAAATGGTTTTTGCTTTCACAGCAGAATCAGGCCCAATAACAGACATTGCAAACAGGTGGCCCTCGGGCAGAATATGCACACAGTCATATTTAGTTTGGCCTGCATCGTGTATATGTTTTAATTTTCCTTTAAAAATGGGTGATTTTGCATAGAAACCCCAAGGCCCAGCCTCTCATGTGAAATTTAAAACTCTGCCAACACAAGGCCAATGGTGGTGCTTGCTGGAGCTGTGGGGCTACTGTCCCTTTAGATGAGCCATAGGCGCTCCAGTTTGCCCTGAGAGCTGAGGTCCCAGGGTCTGGTCACCTCGCCCAGGTCTATTGCCTGCACTACCAGCCAGGGCTGTGAGGTTTTGAGCCTTTCTTTTTATTTATTTATTTTATTTATTTATTTTTTTTGAGACAGAGTCTTGCTCTGTCGCCCAGGCTGGAGTGCAGAGGCATGATCTTGGCTCATTGCAACCTCCACCTCTCGGGTTCAAGTGATTCTCCTGCCTCAGCCTCCTGAGGTAGCTGGAACTACAGGCATGTGCTACCATGCCCAGCTAATTTTTGTATTTTTGTAAAGATGGGGTTTCCCCATGTTGGCTAGGCTGGTCTCGAACTCCTGACCTCAGGTGATCTGCCCGCCTCAGTCTCCCAAAGTGCTGGGGTTACAGGTGTGAGCCATCGCACCGGCCTTGAGTCTTTCTTAAACCTTTGCTTCAGAGCACGTGAGGTTTCTAGCAAAATCAATGACTGATGCGATCCAGGCCAATCTCCTGGGTCACTGACGGCCTTGGTTCACAGTAGGTCCTCAGTAAATACTCGAATGACTAAACAAACAGCAACAGGAATCCCAATCATCAGTAGTCGCTTGGAAACAAAGATGCCCGAACCATCAGACTGTGATGGCCGGAGCGAGCCTGGCCAGCCCTCAGGAGCCTCCCAGACAGCACAGAGATCTCCCTGCCTTCCTAGGGGAGGCCAATTAACACCAGATCCCTCTCTGGCTGTCCCTCAGCATTGAGAGCCGGTGACAGACACAGTCCACCGCCCCTAAGTCTCGGCAAGATGGAGCCAAGCGTCAGTCGTCTTCCTCTGCCGTCTGCCCTCCACGCATTCAGTAGGTGCCCAATTCTCGCTGCCCTCCCAAATCCAGACGAAACTGCGAATTCTCCCTGTCAGTGCTGTATATCACTTTGAGATATATACCATATTAGCAGAAAGAACTGAATTATATTGCATTCATGATGCAATTAAACACTTCACTAGGAATCAATGTAAAACTGATGAGGCCTGAAAGTAGTGCATATGGCTTAGAACATTATAAAACATTACCTTCACTCAAATCCTTTTCAGTAGCAATTTAAATCTTCTTACAGTTACTGCTGCCAATGGTAAACCATCTACTGATTCATAACAGCGCATGGTAACGAATGAATTTTTTTAAAAATTTATTCAACTACTAAATTACCCATGAAACCGGAATAGCTGACAGGAATAATCTGAATTATTATTAGCTCTGCAAGTATTCTGCATTAGCCAATTTAAAACCACGGCTCTCAGGCAGGAACCAGTTAGTACAGCCGGAGTGTTAAATGACTGCTATAGTTCTTCATTTTACTGCTGCTTACATTTAAAGGTCAAGAGATAAAAATTACATATGACTCCAAACATAGGAAGGGTGTTTATCTTTTTCTAGGAATCAGGTCAGTTGAAAACTTTAAAACGTTTGAGATGCAACTGTACAAACTCAAAGACCTTTGGAATTGTTGGGAATCAGGAGGCTGGGGGGGTTTCCTTCCCCCTCCCACCATTGCTGCGAAATAATAACAAAATAAAACATGACGTGACCTCTCGTCTTTGTGGTCCAGAAACTTGCTCCCTGAAAGATGCCAATTTCTAATTTTCCTCCCTGGCCTCCACACACCCCACCCCTCCCACCCCCCGAGGCTTTTCCCAGCTCTTGGGCAGCTCTGGAAGGATCCTGAAGCTACAGAAAGAGGAAGCCACAGAAATAGGCGCTGGTTGCTCATGAAGAGGTGATTTGGTCCAGCCGTCTGCCTCCTGCCCGGGGCAGAAGTAAGATGAAGATTTCAGGCTCCTTATTCCCTTCCCTAACTGCCTTCCTGTCCACACCCACTCATCTGTTGTTGTGTTTCCCCCACTCCAAAAGCCCAAGGGGGAAAAACCAAAGTGAGAGAAATAAAGAACCAGCTTTCTCCCGGAGCCCCGTGTTACCCACACACAGCTGAACAAGGATCATAAAACACCAGACTTGTTTCTTTGCGTGGCTTTGGCAAGAGGGGCATGTGTGTTTGGAGCACTGTGGAAGGACAAGCTAGGCAAGTTCAAGGCATGATTCTTTCTTTTTCCCGGCCCTTTTTTGGGGGGAGGAGGAAGGTTAAAAAAATTTTTTTAACCCATCAAGTTAATATATGCTCATTCTAAAACATTCAAATGATGGAGAAAAACACAAAGAGAAAGCTGACAGCCCTGTCTTGCCACTTCGCATTTAGCTGTCGACAAATAGTAATGAAGCAAGCACCTACTATGTGCCAGGGCGCTGGGAATGTAGCAGTGGACAAACCTTTGGAACACTCTGGTCTGCATCTTTCCAGGTTTTTCTCTATGTGTCAGCTGACATGTACATTTTCTCAAAATGATCATGTATTACTCCTGGCTTTATTCACCCCACAAAGTCACTGTCCGGATGTCCTGGACATCTTTAACTAAAAGGCTACAATTCCACTGTGTGTGCAGACTGTGCACTTACCCAGACCTGAGCAGGACCTTTTTGTAGCAAAATAAACCAATTTCCAAATGAAAAACTGTTCAGGCTACAAGTAAGGGTGTGCCTAGCCTAGGCCAAAATGGAAACTTAAAATGTCTTGGCGTTTTAAGGGAGAGAGGGTGTGAAGAGATGGTGCACTCCAGTGAAAAAATAACTTTCAACAGGTAAAGAAAGCATTTTTCCTCTACCCCTGCCCCCAAATGACCTCTTTTGCACAACCTGATTGATTTCTATGGATTGGTGTGGCTTTAAAACACGAGTGACTGTCCAATATCCTCCGTACTGCCAGGAAGCCCCCGTTAAAGCAGGGGTTTTCAACCAGGGGTGATTTTGCCTCCCAGGGGACATTTGGTAACATCTGGAGACATTTTTGGTCATTTCACTTTGGGATTGTGGGGGGCGGTGTGCTACTGGCATCTAGTGGGGAGAGGCAGGGATGCCACTGAACACCCCACAATATACAGGCAACCCCCCACAACAGACTATCCAGCCCAAATGTCAAAAGTGTCAAGGTTGAAAACCCTGCCTCAGTCATTCTAGGATGGTCTAGGGTAGGGGTGTCCAATCTTTTGGAAGAAGAAGAATTGTCTTGGCCCACACATAAAATACACCAACAATAGCCGATAAGCTTTAAAAACCCACAAAACTCATGATGTTTTAAGAAAGTTTACGAGCTTGTGTTGGGCCACATTCAAAGCTGTCCTAGGCCACAGGTTGGACAAGCTTAGCTAGGATGATATGGTTGAAGATTGGGTCTTAGACACAGACACCCTGTGGGTAAGGCCCAGTTTGGCCACTTGCTGCTGGCTGTGTGACTTTGGAGAAATGATTTAGCCTCTCTGAACCGCAATACTATTAAGTTTGTGTAGGTAAGTGTCCTTACCTACCACTTCTTTTTTTTTCCACCCTTAGAGGCAGGGTCTCGCTCTGTCACCCAGGCTGGAGTGGAGTGGTGCAATCATAGCTCACTGCAGCCTCAAACTCCTGGGGTCAAGCAATCCTCCTCCCTCAGCCTCCCGAGTAGCTGAGACTACAGGTATGCACCACCATACCTGGCTAATTTTTAAAATTTTTTTAGAGAAGGGGTCTCACTGTATTGCCAAGGCTGGTCTCGAACTCATGGGCTCAAGCAATCATCTGGCCTTGGCCTCCCAGAGTGCTGGGATTTACAGGTGTAAGCCACCGGGCCCAGCCCCTTACCTACTTCTTAATAGTATCTACTTCTTCAGGATTATCGGAGGAATTACAGGAGATACTTTGTGTCACGTACGCACTGCAGCATTACTTAGTGGTGGCAGTAACATAGTATTAATAGTAGTAGCAGCAGTAGCTGTAGTAATAATGAAAGAAGTACTTTTTATCGTAAAATATACATAACATAAAATTTACAATTTTAACCATATTTAAATGTACAGTTCTGTGGCATTAAATACATTCACATAATTGTGCAACATCACCACTATCCAGAACTTTTTCACCTTCCCAAATTGAAATCCTGTACCCATCAAACACGAACTCTCCATTCTTCCCCGCCACCCGCCCCAGACACCCACCACTCTACTTTCTCTCTCTGTGGATTTGACTACTCTAGGGACCTCCTGTAAGTGGAATCATACAGTATTTGTCCCTTTGGGTCTGGTTTCTTTCACTTAGTATGATGTCTTCAAGGTTCATCCGTGTTGTGCCTGGTCAGAATTTCCTTCCTGTTTAAGGCTGTATAGTATTCCACTGTATGGATGGACCACATTTTATTTATCTGTTTACCCACCGATGGCAACCTGGGTTACTTACACCCTTTGGCTCTTGTGAAAAATGCTGCTGTGAGCATGGCTGAGTCCCTGCTTTCCAATTTTTAGGGTGTGTAGCAAGAAGCGAAACCACTGTATCAAATGGTCCTTCTAGTTTTAAGTTTTTAAGAAATTGTCATACTGTCTCCCATAGTGGCTGCAGCATTGTATTGGAAGCAGTATTTCTAGAGCTAGGCCAATGACTGGGCGCCTGGGTGGGAAACCTCCTTGACAAGTCAGCCCCTGTGTCTGGGAGCCTGGGCCCCCTGGAGGACTCGTTTGCTGAGACCTGCTGGACACATCGCCTTCCTGGGCATGCCTACCTGGGCTTTTGCTACCTTTGCTGTGGCATCATAGAGATCTGCTCCAGGCCACCTCCCTCGCCCTCTCCCTCCTCTGCCAGGTGACCTTGTGACAGCCTTGCAGGTGCCCAGCTCTGAGCAGGCTTGCCATCCATCTTCATCCTGTCTCCTCTCAATGCCAGGCTCTGTTATCACACCCTGCTCCATGCAATCGAGCAATCTGGGGGCCCCCAACCTATGAGAGCTGGATCCTGGGAGCCTAGAGCACGAGAGGGTGGGAACCATGAACTTGAAAAAGGCTCTTAATCCCAGCTTGGAACTGTGCCAGGGAAAGGGGGCCCCTTGGGCAGGGACTAGGGAAAAGACAGGGGCACAGTGGGAGCCTGGCGGGCAGTGGGGACAAATGTGGTGAGAGTTGACCATGGGGACATAAATCCCAGGTTATTTTGTATTGCTCTGAGTGGGCCACCTGGCTGGGGGAGCAAGATTAATGCTAGGACCTCCTCTCCCCTCCCCAAACACTGCTAGGACTAAGAATCAGATAGAACTGGTTCAATTTCCAGCTTTGTTAGCATCTACCAAAATAGTTCTGAAAATAATTCTCCACAGTTCATCTCATCTAAATCTCATGTTGGAGATCAGAGCATGCATGCATGCATTCATTCACTCATTCATTATTTATTTTGAGACAGAGTCTCGCTCTGTCACCCAGGCTACAGTGCATGGCATGATCTCGGCTCACTGGAACCACTGCCTCCCGAGTTCAAGCAATTCTCCTGCCTCAGCCTCCCGATTATCTGGGATTACAGGCACGTGACACCATGCCCAACTAATTTTTTGTATTTTTAATAGAGACAGGGTTTCACCATGTTGGTTAGGTTGGTCTCGAACTCCTGACCTTAAGTGACCTGCCCACCTCAACCTCCCAAGGTGCTGGGATTACAGGTGTCAGCCACCGCACCTGGCCCCAGAGCTATTATTATGCCCATTTTACAGAAGGAGAAACCGAGCCCCAGGAGCTGAAGCAACTCTATCAAGGTCACACAGAATTATTAGTGGGGAAGCTGAGATTTAAACCTACGGGGTCTGACTCTGGGACCAAAACTCTGATGATCATGCTAGACCACGCTGGAATTTAACCTCTCACACCCGCACGTTAGTGTCCTTGGATCAAATACACGTTACTAACCCTCTCTCGCTTTGCTTGCTCTTCTGTAAAATGTGATAATAACAGAATCTACCTGTGGCAAACACTACAGATTGGCCACCCACAAGCTATCCCAACCCCTTTCCCCACTGTCATCTGTTCTCATTTCCTGGGGCTGCCATGCAGAAGTATCACAGACTGGGTGGGGACACAGCCAAACCATATCACACACAGTATAATTCCAACTATACAACATACTGAAAAAGGCAAAACTATGGAGGCAGTAAAATGATCAGTGGGTACCAGGAACGTTGGGGGAAAGAGGGATAAGTAGGTGGAATACAAGAGGATTTTTAGGGCAGGAAAACTCTTCTTCATGATACTACAATGGTGGAGCCACGTCGTCATACATTTGTCCAAACCCATAGCATGTACACCACCAACAGTGAAGCCTAATGTCAACTGTGGACTCTGGGTGATAATGAGGTGTCAGTGTGGGTTCATCAGTTATAACACATGTCCCACTTGGGTGGGCGTGTTGCTGGTGGTAGAGAATGTGCCGTGTAGGGGCGAGGCATATATGGAAATTCTCTATATGCTCTGCTCAATTTTGCTGTGAACTTAAAACTTCTCTAAATACAAAGTTTGTTTAAAAATAAATAGCCAGGGCCGGGTGTGGTGGCTCACACCTGTAATCCCAGCACTTTGGGAGGCCGAGGTGGGTGGATCACAAGGTCAGGAGTTCCAGACCAGCCTGGCCAATATGGTGAAACCCCGCGTCTACTAAAAATACAAAACAAAACAAAACAAAACAAAAACAAACAAACAAACAAACAAAAAAGCTGGGTGTGGTGGCGCATGGCTGTAATCCCAGCTACTCGGGAGGCTGAGGCAGGAGAATTGCTTGAACCTGGGAGGCAGAGACTGCAGAGAGCCGAGATCACGCCACTGCACTCCAGCCTGGGTGACAGAGCAAGATGGAGTCTCAAAATAAATAAATAAATAGCCGAGCATGGTGGCTCTAGCCTGTAATCCCGGCACTTTGGGAGGCTGAGGCAGGAGGAAGACTTGAGGCTAGGAATTCAAGACCAGCCTGGGCAACAGATAGGGAGACCGCCATCTCTATAGTAAAAAAATTAGTTGGGCATGGTGGCGTATACCTGTATTCCCAGCTGCTTGGGAGGCTGAGGTGGGAGGATTGCTTGAGCCCAAGAGTTTGAGGCTACAGTGAGCTATGATCATGCCACTGTACTCCAATCATTGGCCTGGATGGCAGAGTGAGACCCTGTTTCAATGGATAAATGAATGAAGCTTAAGGCACTGGTTAGCTGGGTTTCCAGTTACTTGCAGCTGAATACATTCCTCATAGGAGTGAACCTCAGAAGGTGCTAGGGCCATGGGCTCACCCCACATGGATAGAGGGGGTTTGGACAGAGTAAAGAAATCCTGCATGTTAACACATGAAAGCCAAGCCACGCCTGGACAAGCATTATATGAGATCACAGATCCTGTGCAGGCCCTTCTGTCCCTGTGCCCTGACAGCTCGAGGAAAGAGGGTTGCAGGGATCAGAAAGATCAATGCTTATGGCTCAGAAGACTTCTTGGGAAAGCAGAAACTCAGCCTGGAGGCTAGGAGGTGAGATGAAAGAAGATGGAGGCCAAGCTGCGTCCAGGGCACTCCCCAAGTTCCCAGCAGAAGCCTCTGCCCTGCCTATCCCAGGTGGAAGACGGTGGGACAGGAAAAAGGTATGACCAGAGAGCCCACCCCCAGCTCACTCACAGCCTGACCCAGTGACAAGAGAAAGAGCTACTGCCCGGCCCACAGTCTTCCATCCTCAGGCCTCCAGGTAAAGATCCTTGGATAGGCACCCCCTCCCCGGCCCCCAATTTCACCCTCAACTGCTGCCTTCAACAAAGGGGATTTAAGCATAGCTCAACCCACGGACAGCAGTGGTAAGCTAAAGGCATTCATTCGTTCATCTTTAAGCATTCAGGAATTTCAAGCTGGATGCTTGGGCTCCAGAGCTGAGCACGAGGGAGATGTGACACAGAGGTGCCCTCAGTGATGCACAGGAGAGGAAATATGCATGTCCCCCACTGTGATATGTGCTTCTGCAGAGTGAAGCCCAAGGAGAAGCCCCCCACAAACCCAGTGTGGGGATCTGGGGTCAGGGGAGGCTCTCCAGAAGAGGTGACATTTGAGTTGGGAGTTAATCAGCTAAAAAGCTGGGAAAAGGCAGCCTAGTGACCGGGAAGATCATGGATAAAGGCCAGGCAGAGGCCAAAAGAGACGTTCCGAATAGGAGGAAAAGCAGGGTTTTACTGATGGCTCCGGAAAAGGCAGCGTGGGTGTCTGGGGGTCCTGAAAGGTTGAGATAGGCCAATGAAGCTGCTCAGTTAAGCCTCTCATGCCCAATGGGAAACCAGTGAGTCAATAATTGAGAACTAATTAAGCACCTTCTGTGTCCCAAACACAGTTCTGGGCATCATTAGTGAGACAGGAGGAGATGGAGATATTAAAGGCCCAGGCCTGGCCTTTAAAGACCTCATGATCTAATAGGGGGGATCATACAGCAGTACAGGCACCAGGCAGTGGGGGGTCCACTGCCTGTCACACAGGCCTGAGCAATGTCTGAGAATTTGGAGAAGGCCTGGCTGGTCAGGGAGGGCTTCTTGGAGGCATCAGCCACTTCAGAGGAGAGGCTTGAATGCCGAGTCAGTTTGGATAAACAGACTCTGCTAGTGATGTCAAGCAGGCACCAAGGAAACACAAAGAGGTTTTGGGCAACAACTCCCAAGAGGAATCCTGGGAGGTGCTGACAGAGAGGGAAACTGAGTCCCCAGAGCTTCCAAGAAAAAAACCCCCCCACACACCCCAGATGGCCCATGCCAGGCATGCAGGGAAGCCGGGTGGTGGACAGTGCTTAGCACAGGGACGCACATTGATGGAGAAGGCATCAGGCGGCGAGGCCTCCAGAAAAAGAAGTGAGCTCCAACTTGGAAAGTCGGCATTGTCTCTTTAAGTGAGCATAACACTGTATCATCCTTTCTCTCCCTATTTTGGGTTTTATTAGCAAAGCAGTACAATGTTTATACTAGTGGGTATTACATTTGCCAGAACAATTACAGTATGACAAATGGTACATCAATGTAATCCATCAACCTTGCCAAGACAGGAATCCTTTACTCGGGACTGCCATTAATTCTGCACTCCCGTCTCTGGGGTCCCGGGCCTGTGTAGCCATGACAACGTGGACGACGCCTGGTGCGAATGACAGGGCTCTGTGAAAAATGGGCACCTCCTTGATGCGCTGGAATTTAACCTCCGACACCCGCATATTAGTCTACTTGGAGGCAGAAATTAGAGTTTGGAGCTGGAAACACCCAAGGCACTTGTGGGAGAAGGGCGTTTTTTGCTCCTTCATCCAGTGCAGCTCCTTGGAAGCTGGAAGGGATTTGCACCAAGGAGTCATGTGGCCCCCCTGTTGCTGGTTGCTGGATACCAGCCCCGAAGCCAGGAGCAAATTCAGACAGGATGTGTCAAGTCTCAGTAGCAATGGCAGCTCTTGAGGAAAGGGGACAGGAGACTTCATGGCACAAAGTGCAAAGACAGTGGGCATTTGTAGAGAGAGAAGGAGGAAGTCCTTTTTTGATAGATACAGAAGGCCTCAGAGATTCCAAAAAAAGCGAACACCTTCTAGGCACTCGGAGAAAAGGCGATCTAATACACATGGATCTCAGATCCCTTCTGATTGGGCAATGCCAGCCCTCTGTGATTGGCACATCGCTTCTTGACCCTGGGCTCTCTCTGCCTCCCCCAGCTGCAGCTCCCCACAGCAGCAAAATCCCAGCGGTTACACAGGCCCTCCAATGAGACTGCAGTCATCAGCTAGAAATTCACCAGGAGTTTCAGGGTTCCTCGATTCATCCCAACCAGCAAATTACAAGCCGGGAGCAGCTTTATAAAATATGAAACGGCTGCTGTCAGTTTTTCCATCAGTTCTACATATTTTGCTGTTAACAAAAGGAACCGATAAGCACTTCTCATAAGGAAAAACAAGAATAAAATCAAAGGCCCCTAATGGAGACAATCTCCAAAGTGCAACAACACAAGCCCATTTCTGTTTTTTTTTTTTTTTTTTCCTTCCCTGACAAATCAGTCTGGCCATGGTCCAAGGATACAGGCAGACAGACGGAGCTACCTCACCTGTTTTATTAAGCCATTACCAGAATCATTTTATTCCCATTTATAATGTTCAATACATGGTCTGAAGACTTTTCTAATATAGTAATTAGATGGAACACTAGATAGATGGATTAAATTGGGACGATCTTTTATGCCACTGTACATTGCCTCACAGTATTCTGCCTGGTTTCTGAGATACCAAAATGTGAGGATGTGGATATATAAATACATCCCTTTTATTTTGAATTGGAGGGGCCATACTTTGCATGTGGCTCATGTCAGCATGATCCTTCCCATTTGGAAATCTAATGGAAATTTACAAATTTCCATGATAAATCTTGCTAGGAAAGGCATCCTATATTCCATTGCCCTGCCCCCAGGCAATAGTTTTCCCTTTTTTTTGAGATGGAGTCTCACTCTGTCACCCAGGCTGGAGTGCAGTGGCGTGATCTTGGCTCACTGCAACCTCCACCTCCAGGGTTCAAGTGATTCTCCTGCCTCAGCCTCCTGAGTAGCTGGGATTACAGGCACACACCACCATGCCCTGCTAATTTTTGTATTTTTAGTAGAGACAGGGTTTCGCATGTTGGCCAGGCTGGTCTCGAACTCCTGGCCTCAAGTGATCTGCCTGCCTCAGCCTCCCAAAGTGCTGGGATTATAGGCGTGAGCCACTGCCCAGCCTAGTTTTCCAAACATCACCATCAATGTCACGGTCACCATAGCAAATATTTACTGGGTGCCTATTAGGTACCATGCATGGAACTAAGACCTTGACATTCACTGGGGGACACATGACTTGGGAGCTCAAGAGCATCTAGGCTTTAAAATTGCCCAGAGTTGGGTTTATGTCCTGGCTCTACTTACTTGCTGTGTGACCTGGGGGAAAAGTCACTCCCTCTCTGAGTCTCCATTTTCCCCTCCTGTAACATAGGGATAATACTAGTACTTATCTAATGGGGCTGTTCTTAGGTGCTTAGATACTTAGATGAGGCTTAGCATGGGGCCAGATAAAGAGTAGGTGCTCAATAAATGTCAATCATTTTTATTTTCATCTTGTTTAGTCCGAGGAGTTAGCACTGTGCCCATTTTACAGGTAGGGAAACTGAGGTTTGGAGACAGGAAATACTTTATCCAGGTTACCAAACAAGTACAGGCACAGGTCTCTTAACTGCCACCAAAGATTTGTCTCCTTTGAAGAGCAAAAGGAAGAACACCTCTACCAAGAAGAATGTGTGTGTGTGTGTGTGTGTGTGTGTGTTGACCTAAGCCCCTGAGTCCCTAATTTGTACCTAAGATGAGGATTTAAACTATAGTCTTAATTCAAAGGGCCTGAGAAATCACTGAGATTGTTATTTTTCCGGCACTGCATTGGGACAAATGCTTTCCAGTCCCTCAGAGGAGGCTCTTCTAAGGCAGCGGGCATTTCTGGCTTTATCTGACTCATCTTCATCTCAAAGTTTGGTGGTCCACATAGAACATCTCCCTTCACGTGCCATCTCCTCTCAATCTTCAGAACGACACTAAAAAATGAGACCAGAGAAACATATCCTGCAGGCGTCACCTGAGGCTCCCTGCTCACTTCTCAGGCATCGTCCCCAGGTGGGAACACTGAGCCAAGGAAATAAAACTGAAATATCATCAAGAGAAATGATGCCACTTTAGAGAGGGGAAAACTGAAGCTCAGAGAGGTAGTGTAAACTGCCAAAGGTAACACAGCTTTCGAGTTCACGTTAGGGACCTCTGCCACCCTGGAGTCACAACTGGAGTGTGACAAGGGCTGCGCATTCCCCCACCCCTATTCTGATTTTGCCTGTTCCCTTAGCTTCGGACCACGGCAGCCTGCCTGTGCAGGGGCTATATTTAGCTGCTGCTTTTTTCCAGTTTCGCGTGTAAATGGAGAACATCTAGTGGATGAAACCTATTAATATAAAAGAGGAGGATGCACCCAGCCACGAAGCTGGAAGCTGAGTGCTTCTGAAGACCTGCCTTCACCATGGCCGGGAAAATAATATTATCTTCTGTACTAATATTCCTAGATCAAGAGGGGGTGCTCAATTTGATAGGTGGTGCTGTGACTCACAAAAAGAATAAAACTCTGAAAATCTCTTCGCTGCTAGCTCAATCTATGGTATTGATGAGAAAGTGAGAGTTGCCTTCAATTGTCAATTGTCCCCCATCAATGGCCACAGGACCTGCTGTTCTCGCTCCTCTGCCTGGGAAATTAAGTCCCTGTATAGCCTTGCAGGGGTCCTCAGAAAGTTGTTAAATGGGTTTCCAGCTCACCCCAAGTCTTTTGCTATTTTTGCAAGCAGCGCTGACCTGGAAGGTTTCAACACTGAAAAAATGTCTTTAAGGAACACAGTGAGGGACAGGGAGTGGAGCCAGCAGAGGGAAGAAAAAGAACAGAGAAGTTACTGGAAATGCCAAATACTGACATTTACACTGTAGGGCAGGTCCCACGACTGCCTCACTGATCCTCCTAACCACCCTCATTTATATCCCCATTTCACAGACCAGGTGATGGGGGCTCAGAGAGGGGAAGTGACTTACCCAAGGTCACACGGCTAGTTCAGGGCTGAGTTTGGATTAGCACCTGGGTTTGTCCGATTTTAACATCTGGACCTGTAAGTCCAAGTGGCTCTCGGGCAGAGTGAAGGTGGGTCCACCACCTTTGACACAGTAGGCAGTTCTTGGGAGAAAATTGTTCTGAACGCTTATCCTATTTGCCATGACCTTGGGAAGCTCAGCCCCATGGAAGGAACGGATGAACTGTATGCAGTGCATACAACTATTCCTTTGTTCATCCACTTTGTATAGCAGATTTTTGTCAATCAGGTGTTCATGATACAAAGGCCTCCCAAGGAAGAATAGCAGCTGGCTGTGGCTGAGATGATGCTGGATCAGATAAAGCCAGAAATGCCCGCTGCCTTAGAAGAGCCTCCTCTGAGGGGTTGGAAAGTATCTGTCCCAACGCAGTGCTGGAAAAATAACGATCTCCATGACCACAACTTCGACCACCATTATTTCTGAACATAGGCCCATTGCTCAAACCTTTGCCACAAATGCCATCTGTGGTTCATCCACTCTCTGCAGCTCATCCCAGGCCAGGGAGGCAGAAAATGTCCCCATCACATACCCCTCTCCTTTCTCTCCCAAACCCCATCCATTCTCCTCCTATTGAGCACTTGTGGACCACTCGGGCCAGCAGGATCTTTCTCTCTTCTCCAAAGAGAGCCTCCAGTTACATGAAACCTTCTGGTTTACAAGAAGGAATGTCAAATCCATCATGTCCCTTGGTCCTCGTAGACCATCCCAAAGAGTGAGGGCTATCTTATCCTCATGCCCCCCACGAAGTCCCTGAGGCTCAGGGAGTTTAACAACCTGCTGGAGGTCACATGGCGATCAAAGACGGGCCTGTAGTCCAGATGGGATTCTGTCTTGGGTCGGGTTCTCTGGGGGCTGAGATGGGGATCTGGGGGCTAGTGACTTATTGGGGGACGGGGATATGCCCTCAAGAGGAAGCTGGCAGGAGTAAGGGAAGCAGGTGGGGGCAGGAGAGGAGCTGGGTGGAAATGTGGGCTCAGCGAGAGTCCAGTGTCGCCCCTGGGAGCTGTGTGGGGTGAATGGTACCATAGTGCAGTCCCAACTTGAGGGAAGCGGGCCAGGCTTTTACTCTTCCCCTGAATCAAGTCACTCAGGGGCTGTGGGCTGCCCCTAGGGTGGGATGGGATGGAACATCTTGCAATTCCCTGGAGAACAGAACAGTCAAGTCACAGCGGGGATGGGTGCTGCTTGGCAAAGGGGTCTGGGTGGGCCACCAACAATGTCCCCTGGAGATTCTATGGCTCTCCTTCCTAGCATTCAATCAAGAAGGGTGGTAGGGATGGGGGATTCTTAACCTAAGCAGAAGCCAAATGGTAGCAGTCCATGGAGGAGGGAACCCTGGGGGCTGCCATGGGGAAACTGAGGCTCAGAAAGGTCAAGCAGCCTGACCGAGGCCACACAGCATTTCCTGCCACTTACCATGGAGCTGCGACCCTCTGGAATAATGAAGGGCTGACAGGCAGCCTCTCTGATGTTTTCCCCTCTCCTCCACCCCTACCCCTCCTCTCTCCCCACCCCCACATGACTGCACCTCCCCCTGCTGGCTCCCCAGCGCCCGGGTGCTGGATGAGAACAGTGACACCTTGTCAAACAGGCTTTTGATAAATGCAAATCTCTCTTAATTTGAATTTAATTATCAATGAAGTGAGCGACTCCCAGATCGCTTCTCCCTATCAGAAACTGGCAGATACATCTGTGCGTGGAGCGAGACTGGCATCTGCTGGTCCTCATGCCAAGCCCCTCCCCTCGGCCAGCCTGGCAGTGGCAGATCCTCTGTGGGAGGGGTAAAGGGGATGGGAGTAGGGGTTCCTACAGCTGGAGACCCCACCTTTTCAGCAGTCCAGGCTAGAGCCGTCACATGGCCTACCCATACGGTCTCTTTCCAGATGCCCAGAGAGGTTAAGACACTTGCCCAAAGCCAGACAGCAGGGCTGGACTCAGGTGACCTGATTCTGTCATGACCAGAGCTTGTTCCACTGTTCTGCCATCAATGTCAGGGCAGGGAATTGGTGGTCCAGTGCTTCATTCCTGCCCCATGCTCACCCCTAAGCAAATTCTGGGTGGGCTGTGCATGGTGGCTGGTTCATGCCTATAATCCCAGCGCTTTGGGAGGCCAAGGTAAGAGGATCGCTTGGGGCCAGAAGTTCGAGGCCAGCTTGGGCAACATAGTGAGACCCAATCTCTATGAAAAAATTTAAAAATTAGCTGGGTATGGTGGCATGCACCTGGAGTTCCAACTACTCTGGAGGCTGAGGTGGGAGAACCACCTGAGCCTGGGGAGGTCGAGACTGTAGTGAACTGTGATTGGGCCACTGCACTTGTGCCTGGGTGACAGAACAAGACCCTGTCTCAAAAAAAAATTTAAATAAGTAAATAAATAAAGTTTATAAAAATCCCATCATTCAGAAATAACCTCTAGTAATGCTCTACCATTTTCCCCTTCAGAATTTACCTTTCCCCAAAGTGTCTGATTTCAATTCTATTTAACAACATCAACAACAACGACAACATCAACAAACAACAACAACAACATCAGCAGAAGAGAGGTGACAGCACTAAGACCAACTTGGTCAATACTTCTCTTGCCTCTGTCCCTTTACAGTGGACTTTACAGTGGACTTTAAAGTGTCCCTTTACAGTGGATTTTGGATGGGAGTGGTGGCTCATGCCTGTAATCCCAGCACTTTGGGAGGCCCAGGCAGGGGGATCACTTTGAGCTCAGTAGTTTGAGGCCAGCTTGGCCAAGATGGCCATCTCTACCAAAAAAAAAAAAAAAATTAGCCAGGTGTGGTGGCTCGTGCCTGTGGTCCCACCTACTCGGGAGGCTGAGGCTGGAGAACTGTTTGAGCCTGGGAAGCAGAGGTTGCAATGAACCAAGATCGTGCCACTGCACTCCAGCCTGGGCAACAGAGCGAGACCCTGTCTCAAAAAAAAAAAAAGCCATAAAAAATAAACAGCGGATTCTTAGACCAAATCTTGACACATACACTCTCCCCTGCCTCAGCCACTTGAGACTGTTTAGTGAGACCCTGTAAGTTCCTGCACTGACTTCAAAGGCATTGACCTTTCCAGTCCTGGAAGGCAAGAACTCCTGACAAACAAATGGCTGGGTCTTGGAGCCAGGCTCCCAGAGATCCAAACCTTGGCTGGCCACTTACTTGCTGGGTGACCTTGGGCAAATCTCTCTGAGCCTTCCACATCTACCTGTATAATGGGTTAATAACTGTAGCAACCATGGGACGCTACATCAATTAAATGAGATGAAGGGCAAAAGGCTCTCAGCACAGTGCCCAACCAAGAGCTGAGGGCTTCATAGATGTGCCTGTCATTTTATTTCTTGACACAAAACCTCCTGGCCCTGCTGCACCTGCAATTTTTCCAGAGGCTGCTCAAATGCAGCTGGGGTCTCCCTGTCAAGAGGCCTTGCCCCTGTTGGGTCTGGCGAGGTCAATGCAGCAGCCCCCTCTGGCCCCAAAGCAGAGCCCCCACCTGGCTTTATCCTCCCTCTTCTCTCCCAGGCACCACCATCTCAGGAAAGGGCAGCTCCATCCTCCCATAGTTCAGGCCAAATTGTGGACTCCGCTCTCTCTCTCACTTCCCACGTGCAAGTCTTGTTGGCTCCATCTTTAAATTCTACCGAGAATCGCGTCACTTCTCACCCCTCCATTCCCTCCCACCCTCATCACGTGCAGGAACACGCGATGTTCCTGCATCCTTCTCATGGGGTCCCGGCTCCAATCCACACCCCTTAGGCCTATTCCCCATGTGGCCGTCGGAGTCAATGACCTCACCCCTCTACTCCAAACCTTTGAGGCTCCCAGCTCACTCAGAGCAAAGGCTGAAGTCCTCACCCGGGCCCCGCACCCACCTGCCCCCTCACTCCTCCTTCAGTCAACCAGACACTAATTGTAGGAGTGCATATTAATATCTGAATGCACACAGTTCAGTGGCACTTATTAGTACATTCACAATATTGTACAACCATTGCCTCTATCTACTTTCAGAACATTTCATCACCCCAAGACCCAGCAAGTATCTGTTTCCCATTCTCCTTTCCCCAGCCCCTGGAAAGCACTAATCTGCTTTCTGTCTCTATGGATTTGCCTGTTCTGGACATTTTGCATAAATGGAATCCTACGCTACATGGTCTTTTGCGTCTGGCCTCTTTTAATCAGCATTGTGTTTGGGGCTCATCCTTGTTGCAGCCTGTGTCAGAGATGCATTCTTTTTCATGGCTGAATAATATTCCATTGTATGGACAGACCACATTGTATTTATCCATTCATGAGCGATGCACATGCGGGTTGGTTCTACCTTTTGGCTAGTGTGAATAGTGCTGCTGTGAACATCTGTGTATATGTTTTGGTTGGAGCACCTGTTTTCAATTTTTTTGGGTATATTCCTGGGAGCAGAATTGCTGGGTCACATGGTTAAGTCTATGTTTAACTTACTGAGAAACCATCAAACTGCTTCCCACAGCAGCTGCACCATTTTGCATTTTGCATTGGTGGTTCACTCAGCTAGGAATGCCCTTTCCCCGATATCCTCATGGCTGCCTTATTCAAATCCTTCAAAGGTGCAAATGTCACTGTCTCAGTGAAACTCTATTTAAAACTGCATGAGCTCTACCTATCCCACACCCCACCCTCCCCTGCACCCCATTCTTTCTTCTCTTTTTTTTTTCTTCATAGCACTTATCACTGTGGACGGACCACACACATACCTTTCTACTATTTACAGTCTTTCTCTCTAAAATAGAGCTCCAAATGGACCTTTTCTGTCTCGCCATTGAAACTCCAGGGCCTGGCACACAGCAGGTGCTCAATCAACAGTCCCCAGAGCAATCTTTCTAGTACACAACTGAACCCCAGCCACTGCTCTGCTCAAAGCCCTGAATGGCTTCTGTGGCCCTCAAGGGAAAATACCTTGCCCTACTCTCCAGACATGTCCCTGTCATGTCCCCACATGTACCGTGTGTTTAGATCACACTGAACTAGCTGTAGGAACCCAAGCACACATGGTCCTTCTGCCTGGAGTTCCCTTTCCCACCCAGTTTTTCTGGTAAACCCTCTTTTATCCTTCATAACACAGCTCAAGTGTCACCTCCTCCAGGGAGTCTTCCTTGACCTCTCCAGGCAAAATTCAGTTGGTCTCCCTGGGCATCTCCTTATCACCTATATCAGCTTACATTGCTCTAGGTACATATTTGGTTTGACTATACCAGCAGCAGAAACACACACACACACACACACACACACACAGAGAGAGAGAGAGAGAGAGAGAGAGAAAGAGATCTTATTGGTTCTGTTTCTCTGGAAAACCCTAATACAGATTTTGGCACCAGGAGTGGTTAGAGAGGAACAGAATTTTAAGGATGAGTATTCAGACATGGTTTTGGGATTTCTGGGGTTGGCTCTCTAATTCAATTAGATATAAAGATGCTAATGACTCTATTTCCAGTAGTAAAGAGAACACTGATAGTCCATGGTGTTTATTCCCTAATAGAGATATGCAAACTATCTCCAATAGATATTCCAAATCAACCACTGATAAGAAGCACGCATGTGGGTGACAGTGTCCATAATACTTTCTCTTTTTAAGGCCCACTTGATATGCCAGATACTTTGAAACATTTTTGGCAAACTAGGAATACAATGACATTGGCTGGTTGGTCCTAATGTCTCTGGACACAATGGGGAAAGAAAAGGATGAGTTTAGAGATTTAAGTTACCAGCTCAAGTGCCACATAAATGGCCTGAAAGCTTCCATGCATGCCCTGAGGGAGACTCTAATCTCCTGTAGCTGCAGGGCTGAGATTGCTGAAAATCAGACCCAGAATCTCATTCTGTGACTGGCTGAATTACAATGCAAGTTGAACTCCTAGCCTTGTAGGGTGTCTGCTGCTAAAGTGAAGGCATTGTGATGGAATGGAACCCTGAAAGTTAGGATGGGGACAGGTGGGAAGACCCTGGTGAAGCTGGGCACACTGAGACCCTAAACTCTGAGTCTTCCTTGCCAGTGGAAGAAGTCTCCCCACCACCAGCTGGAGTGGCCTCTCCACGTCCTACTGAGGGAATTAACCCTGCACTGCCTGGGGAAACTCTTACAGCCTCCCCTGAGGTAGCTGCCATACAAGACAATCCTAAGTCTCCTAAAGACCCCCGCCCCCAACCACCTCTTTGCTTCTAGACTTGTAACTAGACTGAATTCCCAGCAGGCCCCTAAAGGGGAGGTGATATGGTTTGGCTGTGCCCCCACCCAAATCTCAACTTGAATTTTATCTCTCAGAATTCCCACGTGTTGTGGGAGGGACCCAAAGGGAGGTAACTGAATCATGGGGGCCAGTCTTTCCTGTGCTGTTCTCATGATAGTAACTCTCATGAGATCTGATGAGTTTATCAGGGGTTTCCGTTTTTGCTTCTTCATTTTTTTTCTCTTGCTACTGCCATGTAAGAAGTGCCTTTTGCCTCCTGCCATGAATCTGAGGCCACCTCAGCCATATGGAACTGTAAGTCCAATGAAACCTCTTTTTGTTCCCAGTTTTGGGTACATCTTTATCGGCAGCGTGAAAACGAACTAATATAGTAAATTGGTACCAGTAGAGTGGGGTGTTGCTGAAAAGACACCTGAAAATGTGGAAGCGACTTTAGAACTGGGTAACAGGCAGAGGTTGGAACAGTTTAGAGGGCTAAGACAGGAAAATGTGGAAATGTTTGGAACCTCCTAGAGACTTGTTGAATGGCTTTGACAAAAATGCTGATAGTGATATGAACAATAAGGTTGAGGCTGAGGTGGTCTCAGATGGAGATGAGGATCCTGTGGGGACCTGGAGCAAAGGTTTGTTATGTTTTAGCAAAGAGACTGGCAGCATTTTGCCCCTGCCCTAGAGATTTTTGGAACTTTGAACTTGAGAGAGATGATTTAGGGTATCTGGCAGAAAAAATTTCTAAGCAGCAAAGCATTCAAAATGTGCTTTGAGTGCTGTTAAAAGCATTCCATCTTAAAAGGGAAACAGGCCAGGCATAGTGGCTCATGCCTGTAATCCCAGCACTTTGGGAGGCCGAGGCAGGCGCATCACCTGAGGTCAGGAGTTTGAGACCAGCCTAGCCAATGTGGTGAAACCCCATCTCTAATAAAAAATAGAAAAATTAGCTGGGCGTGGTGGTGGATGCCTGTAATCCCAGCTACTTGGGAGGCTGAGACAGGAGAATTGCTTGAATCTGGGAGGCAGAGGTTGCGGTTAGTTGAGATAGTGCCATTGCACTCCAGCCTGGGTGACAGAGTGAGACTCTGTCTCAAAAAAAAAAAAAAAAAAAAAAAAAAAGGAAACAGAGCATAAAAATTCAGAAAATTTGCAGCCTGATGATGCAGTAGATAAGAAAAGCCCATTTTCTGGGGAGAAATTCAAGCCAGCTGCAGAAATTTACATAAGTAGCAAGGAGCCTAATGTTAATCCCCAAGCCCATGGGGGAAAATGTCTTCAGGCCATGTCAGAGACCTTCACAGCCGCCCCTCCCATCACAGGCCCAGAGGTCTAGGAGGAAAAAGTGATTTCATGGGCTGGGTCCAGGGTCCCCATGCTGTGTGCAGCCTAAGGACTTGGTGCCCTGTGTCCCAGCTGCTCCAGCCATGGCTGAAAGGGGCCAGTGTACAGCTCGGGCCATGGCTTCAGAGGGCAGAAGCCCCAAGCTTTGGCAGCTTCCACAGGGTGTTGAGCCTGCAGGCACAGAGAAGTCAAGAATTGAGGTTTGGGAACTTCCATCGAGATTTCAGAAGATGTATGGAAATGCCTGGATGACCAGGCAAAAGTTTGCTGCAGGGGTGGGGCCCTCATGGAGAACGTTTGCTAGGGCAGTACAAAAGGGAAATGCGGGGTGGGAGCTCCCCAACAGAGTCCCTACTGGGGCACTGCCTAGTGGAGCTGTGAGAAGACAGCCACTGTCCTCCAGACCCCAGAATGGTAGATCCACTGACAGCTTGCACTGTGAGCCTGGAAGAGCTGTAGATACTTGATGCCAGCCCGTGGGAGTGTCTGAGAGGGAGGCTGTACCCTGCAAAGCCACAGGGGTGGAGCTGCCCAAGACCATGGGAAGCCATCTTTTGCATCAACATGACCTGGATGTGAGATCTGGAATCAAAGGAGATCATTTTGGAGCTTTAAAATTTGACTGCCCCACTGGATTTCGGACTTGCATGGGCCCTGTAACCCCTTTGTTTTGGCCAATTTCTCTCATTCGGAATGGCTGTATTTACCTAATACCTGTGCCCCCACTGTATCTAGGAAGTAACTAGCTTGCTTTTGATTTTATAGGCTTATAGGTGGAAGGGACTTGCCTTGTCTCAGATGAGACTTTGGACTGTGGACTTTTGGGTTAATTCTCTAATGAGTTAAGACTTTGGGGGACTGTTGGGAAGGCATGATTGGTTTTGAAATGAGAGGACATGAGATTTGGAAGGGCCAGGGGTGGAAAGATATGGTTTGGCTGTGCCCCAACCCAAATCTCCACTTGAATGTATCTCCCAGAATTCCCATGTGTTGTGGGAGGGACCCAGGGGGAGATAATGGAATCACAGGGGCTGGTCTTTCCCATGCTATTCTCGTGATAGTGAATAAGTCTCACGAGATCTGATGGGTTTATCAGGGGTTTCTGCTTTTGCTTCTTCCTCATTTTTTTCTCTTGCCACCACCATGTAAGAAGTGCCTTTTGCCTCCTGCCATGATTCTGAGGCCACCGCAGCCATGTGGAACTGTAAGTCCAATTAAACTTCTTTCTCTTCCCAGTCTCAAGTATGTCTTTATCAGCAGTGTGAAAACAAACTAATACAGGAGGCATAAAAAAAGTGACCCATGAGGTGTGCTACACTCCAAAAGAACAACTTGAGTTTTCTAATTCATAAGATAGAAATCTGGGGAACATGCATGGCAATAGGTGTGGGATAATGGTGGAAGGAACATAAAATTGAATCAGGCTAAATTTATGGATATAGGCATACTAAGCAGAGATTCTGCATTTAATGTTGCAGCCTGGGAGTTAGAAAGGGTTCTAACCATGTGTTGGGTTGGTTGGCTGAAACATGGACCAAAAGGTGGCTCACAGTGAGGGGGATGGAGATGCCAAAACTGCCTTGGTTTAATCTAAAAGGAAGAGATTCAAGGACCTAAAAGGAAGAGATTGAAGACTGGGACAGTAGAGTGGATTTGTTATTTAAGACCTATGCACCCACACTGGGAAGGACCAGAGACATGATTATCAACCAACACTGTGAGAAATAAATTTTTTGGGGGAGCCCCATCATCCTTGAAGAGCTCTGAGATCATTCTTCTCTGTAAGCCAATCCTTACCATGGGAACTGAGGTCACTGAATTTGGAAACCTAAATACAAAGGGTATAACTGGATCCCAGAGTGGGAGGGGCCAAGTGGGGACACTCACTGTAACAGACAGCAGCATCAAAGCAGCAGTCAGAATAGTGTAATCACACAGACCTATATGACATTAATTAGTTGGTGATGGTGTTCCTAGAAGTGGAGAGGAAACCTACTAAATTCTTACTTGATCTGTATGAGCAGTAAAGTTCTAGATCAAGGGATCAAAAGTTTAACCTGAATCATAAAAACAGAGTGTCACAGCCCCTCAATCAATTCACAGACTGGAGCCAATTTATAGACCCAGAACCCTTTGAATGAAGGGGAGGCCGGGTCCCCTTAAGGGAGGACCTTGGTATACTGCCAAAAGTTTATACTGTTAATTTTTCTCCCAGCCCCCCACAAAGGAACCTGCAGCCTTTTACCAGAGTGACTGTGCACTGAGGAAAAGGAAGTAATCAGAACATTCAGTCACTACTGGACAGTGGCTCAGAACTGACATTGATTCCAGGAGACCCAAAATGTCACCGTAGCCCTCCAGTCAGAGTAGGGGCTTATAGAGGTCAGGTGATCAATAGAGTTTTAGCTCAGGTTCATCTCACAGTGGGGCTGAGTGGGGTCCCAAATGCATTCTATGGTTATTTCCCAGTTCTGGAATGCATAATTGAAATAGACATACCCAGCAGACACAGTCCCCACACTGGATGCCTGACCTGTGGAGTGAGTGCTATTATGGTGGGAAAGGCCAAGTGAAAGCCACAAGAACTGCCCCTATGTAGGAAATTAGTAAACCAAAAGTAATCCTGCATTCCTAGAGGGCTGGCAGAGATTAGCGTCACTATAAAGGACTAGAAAGATCAGGGGTGGTGACTGCCACCACATCCCCACTCAACTTGCCGATCTGGCCTATGTAGAAGACAGATGGATCTCAGAGAATGACAGTGGATTACTGTAAGATTAACCAGGTGGTGGCTCCAATTGCAGCTGCAGTACCACACCCAATTGCAGATGTGGTTTCATTGCCTGAATCTCCTGGGACCTGGTATGCAGCTATTGATCTGGCAAAGGCCTTGTTCTCCAACCCTTTCCATAAGGCCCACTGGATGGAAGCATTGTGCTTTCAGCTGGCAAGGCCAGCAACACACCTTCACTGTCCTAGCTCAGGTACAGCACTCTCTGGCTCTACGTCATCATTTGGTTTGCAAGGACCTTGATCACCTTTCCCTTCCACAAGATTTCACCCTAGCCCATGACACTTATGATACTATGCTTATTGGACCTTGTGAGCAAGAAATCCCAATGATCCTAGACTTATTGGTAAGACATTTGCATGCCAGAAGGTAGAAAATAAATCTAACAAAAATTCAGCTGCCTTCCACCTCAGTGAAATATCTAGGGCTCCACAGTGTGGAGGCACATGGAGATAGCCCTTTAAAGGGAAGAAGTTGCATCTAGTTAGTCCTGCAACCAAAAAAGAGACAAAATGCCTAGTGGGCATCTTTGGATTTGGGAGCCAACATATTTCTCATTTGAGTGTGTTAATTCCACCCATGTGTGGAGTGACCTGAAAAGCTGCCAGTTTGGAGTGGGACCCAGAACAGGAGAAGGCTCTGCAACAGGTCTAGGCTGCTGTGAAAGCTGCTCTATTGCTTGGGCCATATGACCCAGCAGATGCCATGGTGCCCGAGGTGTCAGTGGCAGATAAGGATGCTATCTGGAGTCTTCGACAGGCCCCCATCTGGATAAATCACAGTGCAAGCCCTTAGGATTCTAGAGCAAGGCCCTATATCATCTATAGATAACTGCTTTTTGAGAAACAGCTCTTGGTTTGCTACTGGGCCTTAGTGGAGATTGAATGCTTGACCATGGGCCCCCAAATGACCCTGTGCTCTGAGCTACCCATCATGAACTGGGTGTTATCTGACCCTCCAAGCCATAAAGGGGGGCATGCACAGCAGCATTCCATCATCAAATGGTGTGGTATATATGTGATTGGGCCCAAGCAGGCCCTGAAGGCACCAGTAAGTTACATGAAGTGGCCCAAATGCCCATGGTCCCCATTCCTGCTGCACTGCCTTCTCTCTCCCAGCCTGCACCTATGGCCTCATGGGGAATTCCCTATGATAAACTGACAGAATTGACCCGGACCTGGTTTACAGATGGTTCTCCAGGATATGTAGGCACCACTGGCAAGCAGACAGCTCCTTCCTGGGACATCCCTGAAGGACTGCGGTGAAGGGAAATCTTCCCAGTGGACAGAACCTCAAGCAGTGCCCCTAGTTGTTTACTTGGCTTAGAAGGAGAAATGGCCAGTCCTGCAATTCTATAGCAATTGATGGGCTGTGGTTAACGGTTTGGTTCGATGGTCAGGGACTTGGAAGGAACATAATTGGAAAATTGGTGACAAGAAAATTTGAGGACGAAGCCTGTGATCCAAGAATCAAGGGGTGGAAGTGGGAGTGGCACCACTCACTATTACCCACTGATATGGTTTGGCTCTGTGTCCCCACCCAAATCTCACCTTGAATTGTAATAATCCCCACATGTCATGGGCAGGGCCAGGTGGAGATAACTGAATCATGAGGGCAGTTTCCCCCATACTGTGATAGTGAATAAGTCTCACAAGACCTGATGGTTTTATAAGTGGGAATTGCCCTGCACAAGCTCTTTCCTGCCACCATGTAAGACGTGCATTTGCTCCCCCTTCGCCTTCTGCCATGATTGTGAGGCCTCCCCAGCCATGTGGAACTGTGAGTCCATTAAACCTCTTTCCTTTACAAATTACCCAGTCTCAGGTATGTCTCTTAGCAGCGTGAGAACAGATTAATACACCTGTAAAGAGCCACTAATTAAATGTTTGCTTCTTACTCTGTGGCCTTATACTTTGCTGGTCTAGAGGTCTTAGTTCCAGAGAAAAGACTGTTTCTACTAGGAGATACACTTATTCCACTGAAAAGGAAGTTAAGACTGTTAGCTGGCCACTTTGGGATTCTCATGCCTCTGAACAACAGGCGAAGAAGGGAGTTACTGTGCTGGCTGATGTGACGACCCTATCAGAGGGTCACTGGACAACTAGGCCACAATGGGGGTAAGAAAGAATGCCTGGAATATAGGAGATCCCTTAGTTTTACCATGCCCTGTGACAAACTAAGGTCAATGGAAAACTACAACCCAGTCCAGGCAGGACTGCTAATGGCCCAGACCCTTCAGGAATGAAAGTTGGGTCACTTGCCCAGGTAAAGAACCATGACCAGTTGAGTTGTTTGCCGAAGGCCAAGGGAATATGGAATGGGAACCCCAAAGTGGAAGAAAGTAGTTATACCAGCTATGACCACATGATCAGTTACAGAACTGAGGACTGTAATTTTCATGAGTATTTCCTCCTTATTTGTGTGTGTGTGTATAAAGATACATATTAAGCAATTATCTTTGTTTTCTTTCTTCTCATTCCCTTATTAGGTAACATAAGATATATTGACTTTATATTACGGTACTTGAATATTGTTAATTTTACATCACAGTATTTAAGCTGTAGGGTATCAAGGAAAAGAGTAAACATCACTGAAGTCCTTTACTTCCTCTTCCAAGGAAGGAGTTAGTGCATTTTTGGTTGTACACAGGATAGTTGTATCACATTACGTGGGATTATGACCTTGTTATTATCTTTACTTGGAGATTAAACATGGCTTAAGGAGATGCATATGGGTGCCAAGTTGACAAGGGGTGGACTTGTGATGGTTAATTTTATGTGTCAGCTTGACTGGGTCATGGGGTAGCCAGATATTTGGCCAAACATTATTCTGGGGGTATCTGTGACGGGGCCTCCAGATGAGATGAACATTTGAGTCAGAAGACCAAGTAAAGCAGGCAGCCCTTCCTAATGTGAGTGGGCCTCTTCTAATCAGCTGACAGCCTGAACAGAACAGAAAAGCTGACCCTCCCTCGGGTAAGAGGAAGTTCCTCCTGCCTGTCTACTTGAGCCAGGACAGCAGTCTTTTCCTGCCTTCAGACTGGAACTGAAACACTGACTCTTCCTGGTTCTTGAGCCTGCTGGCCTTCAGAGTGGAATTATGCCATCAGCTCTCCTGGGTCTCCAGCTTGCTGACTCAGATCTTGGGACTTCTGCCTGTAATCCCAGCACTTTGGGAGGCCAAGGTGGGTGGATCATCACTTGAGGTCAGGAGTTTGAGACCAGACTGGCCAACATGGTGAAACCCCGTCTCTACTGAAAATATAAAAATTAGCCAGGGATGGTAGCACATGCCTGTAATCCCAGCTACTAGGGAGACTGAGGCAGGAGAATCGCTTGAACCTGAGAGGCAGAGGTTGCAGTGAGCCAAGATTATGTCCCCGCACTCCAGCCTGGGCAACAGAGTGAGACTCCATCTTAAAAAAAAAAAAAAAAGACCTCGGGACTTCTCAGCCTCCATGAACACATGAGCCAATTCCTTATAATAAATCCGCCCCCCCCACGCCACCACCCCACATACAAACAAACGTAATACATCGTGTTGAATCTGTTTTTCTGGAGAACCCTAATATAGTTCATAACCCGGTGGCCCATTTGGCCTTTGCAGATGTGTTTCGTTTAGTTTCTGCTTTTTCTTGAATATCAGATATTTAACATAAAGATCTAAATTTTCATTTTCTCTAAAAAAAATTGGAAGATCTGACCACACTGTGCTTGCACTCCTGTCTGGCAATCCTCAGAGCCATTTGCCTGGGTGCCCATTCTCTAATTAGCCTCAGTCTCCACCACTCCCTAAAGCCTCACATCTGCTCTGCTTCCCTCATTATCCTATCCATGCGGAATCTGCAGCAGCACTATTTGCAACAGCCAAAAAGAAAAAACAAGCCACATTCCTAGCAACAAATGAATGGATACATAAAATGTGATATATCTAGGCAATGGAATGTTATGCAGCCATAAAAAGGAATGAATTACTGATCCATGTGCCAACATGGATGAACCTTGAAAACATGATGCCAGACATAAAAGGCTACACTGTGGAGGATTTTGTTTATATGAAATATCCAGGCCGGGCGCAGTGGCACATGCCTGCAATCCCAGGACTTTGGAAGGCCGAGGAGGGCAGATCACCTGAGTCCAAGAGTTCAAGACCAGCCTGGTCAACATGGCAAAACCTTGTCTCTACTAAAAACACAAAATTAGCCTGGTGCGGTGGCACGTGCCTGGAGTCCCAGCTACTCAGGTGGCTGAGGCAGGAGAATCGCTTGAACCCAAGAGGCGGAGGTTGCAGTGAGCTGAGATCACACCACTGTACTCCAGCCTGGGTGACAGAGGGACACTCTGTCTCAAAAAAAAAAAAAAAAATTCCAGAATAGGTAAATCCATAGAGAGGGAATGTAAACTGGTGGCTCCTAGGGGCTGAGAGAATGGGGAGTTGCTCCTGTTAGGGCTCAGAAAATGGTACCCCAAAATGAAGGCCTCAAAAGCAGCCTCAGAAGCAAAGGTTCTTCTCCGGACTTCTCCTGCCCTCCTGTCTCTGGTCCCTCATTCTCTGAGACTGGCCACAGAAACTAGAATCCTCTTCCCCAAGGTGAATCATTAGAAATCAGAACCCTTTCCTAAGCAAACTAACATAGGAACAGAAGACTAAATACCGCATGTTCTCACCTGTATGTGGGAGCTAAACATCAGGTACTCATGGACATCAAAATAGCAACAATAGACAGTGGGGACCCCTGGAAGGGGAAGGGAAGGAGGGAAGCAAGGGTCAAAAAACCAACTGTTGGGTACTACACTCATTACCTGGGTGATGGGATTTGTACCTGAAACCTCAGCATCAGGCAAGATAAGCAGGTAACAAACCTGCACATGTACCCCCTGAATCTAAAATAAAAGTCGAAAAAGAAAAAGAAAAAAAGAACTCAGAACTCCTTTTTCCCCAAACCAGCCATAAAACCTAAAAATATTACTTGAACTTCCCACTACCTTTCTATATAAAAACTGGCCATAAAGAAATGATCTGACCTGCCTTGTTTGACTGTAGGTCATAGGAGCCCCAATCCAGAAAGGGTCCTGCCTCACACAGACAAGGCAGGCAGGCTGCACGGAGGCCAAGAAGAATCCAGACAGATAGGCCTTACTGGGCTTCCCAACTCAGTGTCTGAGCATTTCATCATATCTTTTTGTTCAATCCTGTTTCTACATGGCTGTCCACACTTGACTGAACTTAAGCGTAAAAATGAATAGTTTTCCCTGTATCTTTGGGTCTTCATTCTGAAGGCTCCCATGTCAGTAAAACGATGATCAAATAAATTTGTATGCCTTTTCTCCTATGAATTTGCCTTTCATCCATCGATTTTCAAGGAACCTTCAGAGAGTGAAAGGGAAGTTTCCCTTGGCCCCTACACTGCTCAGGGGTATGCGGTTTCCTTTTGGGGGAATAAAAATGTTTGGGACCTAGATAGTGGTGATGGTGGCACAACACTATGAATGTACTAAATCCACTGAATTGTTCACTCTGAAATGGTTAATTTTATGTTATGTGACTTTCACTGCATCTAGAAAAAAATGTTGACTAGAGCCAGAAGACCTGGGTTCAAATCCCAGCTCTGACTTTTGCTGTGTTTTACCCCTCTGAGCCTGTTTCCTTATTAATACAAGGGGACCAAAAGGAGCATCACCCTCTGTGGGTTTTAAGAGGATTAAGTTTGTCTGGGCGCGGTGGCTCACGCCTGTAATCCCAGCACTTTGGGAGGCCGAGGCAGGGGGATTGCTTGAGCTCAGGAGTTTGAAATTAGCCTGGGCAACATAGTGAAACCCCGTCTCTACCAAAAACACTAAAATTAGCTAGGTGTGGGGGTATGTACCTATAGTCTCAGTTACTCAGGAGGTGGAGGTAGGAGGATCGCTTGAGCCTGAGAGGTGGAAGTTGCTGTGATCCATGACTGTGCCACCGCATTCCAGCCTGGGCAATACAGTGAGACCCTGTCTCAAAAAAAAAATTAAGTGAGCTAATGTATAGAAAGTGCATGTGATCCAACACATACAAAGTGCCTGGTAATGGCTGGGCGTGGTGGCTCATGCCTCTAATCCCAGCACTTTGGGAGGCCGAGATTGGTGGATTGCTTGAGACCAGGAGTTTGAGACCAGCCTGGCCAACATGGCAAAACCCTGTCTCTACTAAAAATACAAAAAATTAGCTGGGCGTGGTGGTGTGCACCTGTAATCCCAGCTATTTGGGAGGCTGAGGCACGAAAATCACTTGAGCCTGGGAGGCGGAGGTTGCAGTGAGCCAAGATGGCACCACTGCACTTCAGCCTGGGCGACAGAGGGAGACCCTGTCTCAAAAAAAAGAAAGAAAGAAACTATATGCCGGGTAAGCATTAGCTATTTCTGTTATCACTCTGGGGTTTATTGAGTTTTCTGAGTCCCTTCAGGACTGGGTCAGCCAGAGACACGGAAGGCTCCTGGGGCCCAGCAGGCCTGGCCAGGACTCCCAGACCTTGTGGCTGCATCGGACATCCAAGGAGGCGATCAAACATTTCCTGCCCATTAAATTACAGCAGGAGTTATCCATCCAGGAAGAAATAAAAACTGTAAATATCAAAGCCGATGCATAACCTTCCTGGGCTTCTGTTGCAACTTCCTTTCTTTAATAATTATTGTTTAAAAGAAGCAGCCTGTGACAGGGCGGGGTGGGTCAGTCCCCTGCCCCATTTGAAGTTCACTGCATGCACTGACTTGTGTCCCCATATCAAATATCTGCAGCCACGAGCAACTAGCCGGTGGCTGTTTGCTCTCTGGACATTATTTATTGCTCGTGCAAATTGGCAGGATCTCCCCTGGTGCATAACTTTTTTCCCTGACTTGTTTCTTTCCAGAAGATCCCAGACTAGGGGGCCAGCCTTGCAGACGCCAACAGAACAATCTTCTTTCAACAGCATTAATTATCTGTATGGCTTTCCATAACAACAAAAGAAAAAATCTTGACCCTACTGCCTGCCAATATTTAAGGCACTCGGAGAGGGAAATCCTTTTATCTTTGCATCTCCCAGAGCAGTTCGGTTTGATGAAACATCCTTCCCCTCCCCCGTCCCGTTTTATATTCCGAACTTTCTGGCCTGATTAATTCTCTCCATCTCCATAAAGGGCTGTGTATACTCTTGAGTGTTGACTTGATTTTCTTCTATAAAAACATCCTTGCAAGAAATTAAAACAGCTTAGCCCATCCTTACTCTAGAAACTACTTGTAAAGAGTCTTATTCCTCGGTAATGAAAGGTGGGGTAGGGGAAATTAAAAGATCTGTCATGGAGGACGGGTGGGGGAGAGAATGTAGAAAATGGAATATGAGTTGAGAAGATTTCTTTAAATTAAAGTTGAGGATTAAAGGCATCAGGCTTTCAAGAGTTCTCGTGAAAGGCTTTTTGGCAGTCCCAGGTGGACGGGCCATAATCTTCTTTTTAAATGGCTATATTTAGACCACAGAGCAGTCAGCCAGTCAAACCAGAAACTTCCAGCAGGGGACTGCATGAGGGATGGAGGATGGTGTTTTGATATGAGCTGTGGAAACGGAATTTAACCTCCTAGGAATGATTTGTTTTTGAGAACTCGTAGCACCTGGAAATAGCACATGTATTTTAGGTCTCGGTGGAAGGGGCTCTTGAACAGTTACCTAAGAATTTGGAAAGGCAAGACCTTACCCCAAATGCCCCTGCATTCAAGAACTGTCAGATTCATACCTATAATGACACCTCCCATGAAAGCATCTGTGGCCTATAACTTATACAGTCATATTTCAATGGGGGAAAAATTATCTTAAAATCCTGTTTTTCTTAAAAGTCCAATTACTGGGTAAAGTACTATTTATAGAAAATACGTTTATTGGCCGGGCATAGTGGCTCACACCTGTAATCCCAGCACTTTGGGAGGCAGAGATGGGCGGATCCCTTGAGGCCAGGAGTTCGAGACCAGCCTGGCCAACATGATGAAACCCCACCTCTACTAGCTGGGTGTGGTGGCACAAACCTGTAGTCCCAGCTACTCGGGAGGCTGAGGCATGAGAATCGCATGAACCCATGAGGCGGAGGTTGCAGTGAGTCAAGATCGCGCCATAGCCCTCCAGCTTGGGCGATAGAGCAAGAATCCGTCTCAAAAAAAAAAAAAAAAAAAAAAAAAGAAAAAAGAAAAGAAAACAAAAAGAAAGAAAAAACACATTTATTTCAGAATCTGCCTTCTAGTTTAAGTTCCATGCTCATGTTTAATGCATCTAAAATTTGACCGAGTTCGCTGCTACTCTGGTTGAGGGCAACTGGGTGACATAGAAAGGTTATTGGAGCGAGGACTATATTATTAATGCACATTAAATCAATATAGTAAAGAATGATTCACCCCCTCAAAAATAAGATATCGAGTTAGTTGTGGGTTGTTTTTTTTTTTTTTTTTTGTGGTAACAACTTTAAGACAATTTGCTTATGTCTGAAATAAACTACCAGCGTCGATGCAGCCCAAGCGTAGAACCCTTAAAAGTCTGGCGGGTGACAGGCAGGAATCTGGAAATAGCAATTCAGTAGAAACAGGAATACCTTGAGCTTCTGAGACAGCAGGACCCCCCCGGGCTGGTTTCAGTGTGGTTTGGTTTTTGTTCATTACTGGAGGCACAAGTAAGTATTCTAAAATCAAAAGTGACAACAACCCAACTTGCAAGGCAACATAATCCTCTCCGAGGAAGCACAAACACGTTTCCCGCATTTATCTCAAATTGCAAATCAAAGTGGACCCCGACATATTTTCTCTATGCTAATCTCCAGCAGCCTGGTAACTTTGAAGGGGTTTAAATTACACCAGTTGGTTTTTGTTGCCTTTTTTTTTTTTTTCCTTGTGGTTACTCCCTTCCTTATTCAGCAGGTCTCCAGAGAGAAGGTGTCAAAGGAGTTGAGGACAAAGGGCATCCTTTATAACCCTAGGCAGCTAGATTTTCCTACACCTGTGAGATTCTACCAGGCTTCCCAATATGTCAGTCTACTCAACAGCCCAACAACTCCCAGGAGTGGGGCCTGGGAGCCAACACGGTTCAGAAGGTTCTCAGGAATTCTGATGTCCACGGCAGATGCTGAAGCCCGGCTATTTGTGGTTTTAAGGGGAAGGAGACGTGATTTGACCCACAATATAGTTCTAAGTAATAGCCGGTGATCCCCCTAGAAGTCTTATAAATCACATCTAAGTGCACCAGCTCATCATTCATTCATTCTTCCATTTATCCAACCCAAGTTTATCGAACACCTACTACGTGTTGTACCCCGGGCACAACACCAGGGCATAGCAATGATATAGAGGATAATGAAGAGAGTTGCTGTCCTCATAGAATTTAGAGAAACACAACCAAAAGAGTGACTTCAATATCATGATGGAGCAAGGCCATGGGGATGTGGGGATTCTCCAGGCTATTCCCTTTTGCAATTCTCCATGTTTAAAAAAAATTTTTTTTTTTGAGATGGAGTCTCACTCTGTCGCCCAGGCTGGAGTGCAGTGCCGCGATCTTGACTCACTGCAAACTTCACCTCCCAGGTGCAAACTATTCTCCTGCCTCAGCCTCCTGAGTAGCTGGGATTACAGGCGCGTGCCACCATGCCTGGCTAATTTTTGTATTTTTAGTAGAGACAGGGTTTTGCCATGTTGGCCAGGCTGGTCTCGAACTCCTGACCTCAGGTGATCCTCCCGCCTTGGCCCCCCAAAGTGTTGGGATTACAGGCGCAAGCCACTGTGCCCAGTTCATAATGTTTTTTAACAATAGTAAACGTTATTTATTTTTTCAGTGTATTCATGCAACCATTTTTTTGTTGTTACATGAGACCCAAAGGTCGGGCACTAGACTGAGAGAACAAGACTCATGGGATCCTCCCCTTGAAAGAACTTCCAGTCCATCAATGCTCAAGTCAACGTTTTTGCCTATCAGATGAGTAAGTACAGTTAAAACTGCTTCAAGAATCTGGGGGGCCAGAGGGACACTCCACAGACCCAACTAATCTGTTGGCTCAGTGGGAACATTCAAGGTAATTATGTGCATAGATTTTTCTATTTTTTTAATGAAGAAAAAAAATTTTTTTTTTAAAGATGGGGTCTCGCTATGTTGCCCAGGCTGGTCTCAAATTCCTGGACTCAAGCGATCCACCCACCTCAGCCTACCAAAGTGTTGGGATTACAGGTAATGAGCCACCATGCCTAGCCAATGTACATAGATTTTAAGAACAATCTCAGGGCAGGCTACCCTGTAAGGGACACCATAGATGGGGACTGGCATGCACCCTGCACATGCATCTTCCTTTACAGATTGTCTATGGCTACTTTTACATGGCCATGGCAGAGGTGAGTAGCTGCAACAGAGACCCTATGGCCCACAATGTAAAAAATATTTACCATCTGGCCCTCTAGAGAAAAGGTTTGCCCTCTGCTGCTGTTCCTTCCAGATTATTGTTGGGAAAACTGAGAAAGTTTCCCATGAATTAAATCACCCATTTTGCAATCTGATAGGAGCCCAGATTAGGAGATGGGTGATTTAACTCATGGCAAACTTTCTCAATTTTCCTAACATGTTTTCTCCTTTGATAGCCCATGTTTTTTTGCACACTGAGTTTGCTTGGAGTTGTACTTCTCCACATTGGTGGGAAAGCTTAGAAAAAATCCCAAAAGCCAGACACACCCCAGACCAATTAAATCAGAATCTCTGGTGGTGTGTCCTGTAAAAAAAATCTGTATATCTGTATTTTTTTAAGCTCTCTCAGGTGATTTTAATGGGCAGCCAAGGGTCTAACCACTGTCTTAGGGGGAGGAATATCAGTCTAGCATGTTTGCAAGGATGAATGTGGACTATTGTCCCAATGCAGCAGCCTCATGGAAGCTGGTCCGGCCCTGGGACCAGTTGGATCCATTGGGAGGGCCAGGTGGTCCTGGATTGAGGCTGATGGTGGAGGCGAATGGTACAGCTTGATGGTGGAGGCAGGGGGCTTCAGGCAGTGGTATGCTGGTAAATGGTTAACAATGGATCTACAGGGGGAAAAAAGCCCTGACTGGTAATGCTTGCCAATTTCTGGGGTGTAAATATTCCCATCATGGCCAATTTCAATCTACCAACTGGACATCACTGAGCGCACAGCTAGGGAGAGATGTACAGGGGCACTCTATCATGCTTTAACATGTTGTATTTCCACCATACACATTTGGTGGATGTAAATAACCTTAAAGAGCATATAATAGTAAAATGCAGTAAAATAATTAGGAAGTGATGAGTTTTGAGTACCTGGTTTGAAATATAATTACACTCTAGTAAGTTTATGTAACTTACCTTTGAATATCTGTGTTTAGTAAGTAGTTTGCAAAAGTCTTGCAAATTTAACATTTGGCTCTAGTGAACTGATATAAACTAGCACTAGCACAGAATTCATATCAGAGGCCAAGAGTTGGGAGTCACTTGCACAGGAAAGAGTTGGGGAAGGATGTCTGGTCATCACCAACTGAAACTGCAAAGGGAGGTTTCCCAGCCTTTACCTGGGAAATACGGTAAGGCAAAGGAACTAGGACTTGCTGCTTCCTGGCTGTGTGACCTTGGGCATGTTGGTTTGCTTCTCTGAGCCTGAGATTTCTCATCAAGTAAATGGGGTTATTATAATATGGGTTCTGTAGCCAAGCTTGGCCTGCATTCAAATACCTGGAGCCAAGTGGCTCTACTGCTTCCTCAGCTGTGTGATCTTGGGCAAGTAACTTCACCTCTTGGAATCTCAGTCCTCTCATCTGTGAAATGGAAATACTCAGAGTATCTACCTGATAGGATTGTTGTGGGGTTAAAAGTGCTCTGTAGGTAAACAGTACATGGCATGTGGTAAATAGTCAATAACCATTAGCTCTCAGTGTCATCTTGGAGGTCTGTTGTAGGGTCAGAGGAACTCCTTGTTGTTTACTGAGTGCTTATGGTCATCATTCATGCTGTTTTGTCAAATATTTCTGGATTTCTCTCTCCCATGCACAAGGTAAGATTGTGTTTATTGGCTTCTTGTGGTTGAATGAGGCCAAGTTGCTAGTTTTGGCCAATGAGTAAGTGATGTGTCACTTCCAGAGTGGAGCATTTTACCATAGGTACAAGACCCTTAGAGGTCTCCATACTTCTAGCATGGTGAATGGCACATCAGAGCTGGTGGCTGCACCATCAGCCTGGGTCCCTAAAGAGACACTGATGAGCCAAGTCCACTGCCCATATATGATGGACATGTAGCCAATGAATGGGTCATGCGAGTATGAAAGTTGCTTTGTTAAGTTTAGCCACTGAAATTTGGGGGTCTTTTGTTACTGCAGCATAATGTAGCCTGTACTTACTGATACATTGCTCAATGAGTGGAATTCATGACTACTATTAGCAATATCACCATATTCTCCAAAACCACAAACATTCATCTAAAACCTCTTACCCTCTTTTCAACCTAGATCATATGCCTCTAAGAGGAAAACTTCAATTAATATGAATTCATTGGCAAGGTGTAAGGAATGGAGCACAGTATTAGCTGTCTAATGATTTACATTTGAATCTGCCACTTGCCAGCTCTGCAACCTCAGGCCAGTCACAGTCCGTGGTATGAAAATAATAAGGATGAATGTATGTGCCCTTGCTTTACCAGAATGTTCTCCAACTAAAATGAGATAGTGCACCATAGAAACATAAGCTATTATTGTTGGAGGAAATTATGATCTCTGGTTGTGATAAAGTTAGATTTTTTTTCCCATTGCTCTTCAGGAAAGCCCTGAAGGAATTCCAATTGAGTTTCTGTTTTGTTTATATTAACCAGCTCCAGATCCAATTCAGAGTAAACTATCTCTGGTCTCTTCCAAAAGTCGAGTCCTCCACAGGACTCTCCATTCTTGGGCTTCTTCTCTCTCTCAACTTGCTCTGAATCACCAACATCCTGTAATATGCCTCGGGAACTTGTCCCAACAATCACACTCCTTCTCAGAAAGTTCTTCCTAAAGTCTTCCATAGAAATGCTCACCCTGGGGATTTAATTAATGCCAGGGCCTATATATTGACTTGGGATCAAAATGTAGAATGAAATCTATAAGTCCAAGTAGCATCCACAAACCAATTAGTTAACAACACAATGCTTCTAAACTGCTGAAAGGGGGGAAAAGAGACTCTTAATTGCATCACTTTGTCCTCACCACTTCTCAATATTCTGCAGGCCTTGGCATTTCCTAATTATAAGCACAGCCTAATTCAATCAAGATTCCACCACTGGTTTTTCCAATGCTCTGACTGATGCTGTGAAAGCAACATCTTTCGTTCCCCCAGATAAATTAAACTTCTGTATTATAATCATTACCTAAAAATTCTCTGTAGATGTATAATTTCATTTTTAAAAATCATAATTACACACATCTACCTGTCAAATGAATAGGAGTTCTCAACATATAATGCATATCAGCAGGAACTAAGCCTTAGGCAGAAGGCCAAGAAAGGGGTGAGGGATTAGGGCTTGGGTTCTCCATCAGCAAACAGAGACCAAGGTATTCATCAAACTGTGAATGACAACAGCCAGTGTTCTCAGATCTATGTCAAAGAATAGGAGGGGATTCGTTCATTCATTCATTCATTCATTTATAAATCTTCATTGACAACTTACTGTGTGCTAGTCTGTGAACAAGGCAGACCTGATCTTTGCCTGTATGGAACTTATGGTCTAGTGGGGGAGACAAATGCAAAACAGATACTCACATTAATAATTATTAATACCACTGTGATTAGTTCCAAGAAGAAAAAGAGGGGGCACCAGAGGGTATAACAGGAGCTGGATCATCGAGTCAGGAGATAACAAAGACCTCCTTGAGAAGATAACACTTAAACTGGCACCTGATAGAGGAGTAAGAGTAAGCAGGGGAAGAGCATGGGGTAGAAAATGGAGATATACCATGTTCATAGATTGGAAGATTCAATATTATTAAGAAATTTTATCCAGCATTTTGGAAGGCCAAGGTGGGCAGATGACGAGGTCAGGAGATTGAGACCATCCTGGCTAACATGGTGAAACCCCATCTCTACTAAAAACACAGAAAATTAGCCGGGCATGGTGGCAGGCACCTATAGTCCCAGCTACTCCGGAGCCTGAGGAAGGAGAATGGCGTGAACCTGGGAGGTGGAGCTTGCAGTGAGCCAAGATCACGCCACTGCACTCTAGCCTGGGCGACAGAGCAAGACTCTATCTCAAAAAAAAAAAAAAAAAAAAAAAAGAAATTTTATTATCTCCAAATTGATCTACAGATTCAACGCAATGTCAATCAAAATACCAGCAGGTTTGCTTGTTTGTTTCTTGTAGAAATTGAAAAGCCAATTCTAAAATTTACATAAAATTAAAAGGACACAGAATATCCAAAGAAACTTTGAAACAGAAGAATGAAGTTGGAAGACTTAATCTATCCAATTTCAGAACTTACTGTGAAGATATAGTAATCAATAAAGTACGGTAATGCTATAAGGATAGACATATTGATCAATGAAAAAGAATAAAATGCCAAGAAATAGATCCACACCTAGATGCTCATTTGCTTTCTGAATAAAGGAATCAAAACAATGGAAAGTGATAAATAAAATCTTTCCAGCAAATGGTGCTAGAACAAATGGATATCCATAAAGAAAAAAGAAAATGACCCTCAAACCCTTATCTCACATCATACACAAACATTAATTTGAGACAGATCACAAACCCAAACATAAATGCTAAAGCAACAGCACTTCCAAAAGAAACATAGGAGAATATCTTTGGAGCTAAGCAAAGATTTCTTACAGCAGATATGAGAGAAGGTGTATTCCAGACAGAGGGCACAGCTTAGGACAAGGCCCTGGAGAAGGAAAGAGGTTCATTTTCTTGAGAAACTGAAAGAAGGCCAGTATGGCTGGAGTGTGGCAGAGTTAGAGACATTCACGGCTGCAGCATCTTTACCTGCACTTTCAGAGAATGAAAACACAAGCCACACACTGGGAGAAAATATTTCCAAATCACCTATCTAACAGAGAACTGATCCCCAGAATATATAAAGAATCCTCAAAATTCATCAAGAAGAAAACAAACAACCCAACTAAACAATGGGCAAAATATATGAAGAGAAGCATCACTAAAACAGACATGCGGACAGCAAATAAGCAATGAAAAGATGCTCAACATCATTAATCATTAGGGAAATGCAAATGAAAACCACAATGAGATACTGCTATGCCCCTATTAGAATGCATAAAATTGAAAAAGAAAAAAAAATGATAATATCAAATGCTGGTGAGCTTGTAGAGCAACTGAAACTCTCATATGTTACTGGTAGAAATGCAAAATGGTACAGCCACTTTAGAAAAAATTTGGCAATCTCTTAAAAAGTTAAACATGCACTTATCAAATGATCCAGCAATCCCACTCCTAGGTATGTATCCTAGAGAGATAAAAGCTATGGTCAAACAAGAACCTATATGCAAATGTTTAGCAGCTTTATTTGAAACTGGTAGAAACTGCAAATGACTTGAACATCTTTCACCAGGTCAATGAATAAACAAACTGTGCTATGACCACACAATGGAACACTTTTCAGTAATAAAAAGGAAAAAACTACAGATACTTGCAACAATGTGGATGAATCCCAAATGTGTTATGCTAAATTAAAGAAGTGAGGCCAGACGCGGCAGCTCACGCCTGTAATCCCTGCACTTTGGGAAGCTGAGGTAGGTGGATCACTTGAGGTCACGGGTTCGAGACCAGCCTGGCCAACATGGTTTGAAACCCCATCTCTAATAAAAATACAAAAATTAGCTGGGTGTGGTGGCACATGCCCATAGTACCAGCTACTCAGGAAGCTGAGGCAGGAGAATCACTTGAACCTGGGAGGTGGAGGTTGCAGTGAGCTGAGATCGTGCCACTGCACTCCAGCCTGAGTGACAGAGCGAGACTCTGTCTCAAAAAATAAAAATAAAAAATTAATTAATTAAAGAAGTTAGATTCAAAAGATCACATATTGCATCATCCCATTTACATGACATTTGGAAAAAGGCAAAGCAATGTGGTCAGAGAACAGTTGTCAGGTGTAGGGGGTGGGGGAAGGGTTGGATGTAAAGGAGCAGCAACAAGGAAATTTCGGGGGGTGATGGAACTGTTCCATATTCTGATTGTGGTCAAAGCTCATGGAATATACACAAAAACAAAAAAATTACAGTATGAAAATTAAAACTCCACCAGTCATCTCATCCCCTGCTTAGACACTTTGCCAGGCTTGCCACCATCTACTGGAGAGAATCACAAGTTCTGAGTCAGATGGTCAAGGCCTGATGCACCTTCCTAGGCTCCTCCCCAGCGGGTCCTCTCTACCCCTCCCGGCTCCCCTCCATCACTCCTACTCTATTAACTTCGGGGCTCCAGGCCTCAGGGTCTTTGTTCATGCTGTTCCCTCTGCCTGGGATGCCCTTACTTTCCTCCCTCCCTGGCAAGCTCCTATGCTTTCCTCCAAATATGGCTCAAATCAAATAAAATATGCCTCAAATCCTCCAAATATGTCTATCCTCAGATACGCGTCACTTTCTGTCCAAAGTGCCAAGCACTGAGGCTCAGTCTGCAGAGACGCTGAACCCAGCCGGGGTGAGCACAGTGGTGCTGTCCAATGACCCAGTACTTAGGAAAATGCTGGCCAAGTTATGCCTCGGATCAAGGTGTCCACATTCCAAAAGGGTTATAATATAAAACACAGGAGAAGCAAGGGACATTTGTCCAGCTGAAAAACATGAACTTCTTTATTAAGGCTTATTTTAACCTAAAAGAACTCGATGAGCTGGAAACTCTCAGGAGATGGAAGTCAGGACAGAGTACGGCTACCTAAGAGAAGCCAGATCCTCAAGTCCTGCTGTGGGCTTCCCAGGCCCTCCCCATTAGGTCCCCAAAGCACACAGCTTGTCCAAAAGTTCCCCCCACGTCCCCCTGTGTCACACCTCCATGATGAAGCAATTCCTTCCCCACGCCCAGACAGATTAAGGAAACAGCAAAAGCCCCAGAACGCCGCTTAAGAGAGATTTCTTAGGCCATAGCTCTGCGAGTCAGAAATAAAAAGCGGGGTTTCAGCATCATGCAATTAATGCAGCAAACATTGATTTCTGCACTGTAAGAAGGTGGTTCACTAATTCCAGATGCTTCCACCAGTCAAACCCAGGTTCGGCTTCTTTGCAATATGAGGCAAATGAGAATACTGAATTTTAAAATTCCTTTCTGCAGCAATCTTTATTACCAAACAGAGCATAAAACCCACCCACCCAGACTGCTTAATTCTTCCTAAATAATTAACAGCACCTGCTCACCTCCCCGTTGACATGGGCAAAACTCACTGAGCCACTCGACCCTTCTTGTGAGAGGAGAGATCAATTGGCCACAGACCTCGATCCCTCACCCAAGTCCTGAGCAACCACTTTCTTTGCTTAGCAGAATATCCCGCCCAGGCCTCCCAGCATCAGGACTTCTTTACTAGATTAGATTTTTCTCCAAATCACCTTTGGGAGGTACAGACCCCACAGGGACTTCCTGAGAAACATGTCTGTGGGTTCTTTGAGGGAAAAAGAAAGGAGAAGCCCCGTGGGAGAACCGTTTCCCCTTGCAAGAGGCTTCTGCAAGTTCAAAGCTTTCATTTCTTTTTTTTTTAAAGGCAAATTTGCCTTTAGGGGACTTGCTGCCGTTAGCAAGACTCAAACTCTGTAATTCAAGTCCAGAAAGGCCCAGCAATTGGCCAACTGTACTGTTGGGTTTTCTTGTTATTTGACAGAGCCTTGCTACTCAGAGTGTGGTGTGCTTTAGGCAGCATCAGCATCACCTGGGAATGCAGAAGTTCAAGTACCCCCGGGCCTATTAAATTCCTGGGAATGGGGAATCTCTCTAGGAGATTCTTATGCATGCTGAAGTTTGAGGACTACCAGTTGAGATCACTGCCAAAGGATTCTATTAACGTAGAAGTTTGACATCTGATGGCTGCCATTTTGCTTTGATGGACATCTTCAACTGGACTCCAACTGAATGTGGGCCTTGGAGATCGGGGAGACCCAACCTTGTTTACTAAATGAAAAAGAAGTTGTGGGGAGGAGTAAAAGTGAATAAATGACTCCCAGTAGATCATTAGCGCTGGATAGGGTTGGGAAAGAGATGAGGCATCTGAGATCCAAGTTCAAAGCCATTGTCTCTCTTTTTTTTTTCTTTTGAGACAGAGTCTCATTCTGTCACCCAGACTGGAGTGCAGTGATGCAATCTCGGCTCACTGCAACCTCCGCCTCCTGGGTTCAAGCGATTCTCCTGCCTCAGCCTCCTGAGCAGCTGGGTTTACAGGTGCACGCCACCATGCCCAGATAATTTTTGTATTTTTAGTAGAGATGGGGTTTCACCATGTTGGCCACGGTGGTCTCGAACTCCTGACCTCAGGTGATCTGCCCACCTCGGCCTCCCAAAGTGCTGGGATTACAGGCGTCAGCCACTGTGCCTGGCCAAAAGCCATTGTCTTGAACTAATGATGTTTCTCTGGCAAGAGGCACCAGCAGGCCTCACCCTTCCCCTCCCCTGCACCCCATCCTCTGCCCCACTTTCCCAATTCGTAAGAACAGTTTCTTTATCCAAGAGGGACTTGGGGATGAAACACTCAGTCCTTTGAACGTGTGGGTTCCCCCTTCACGCCTCCCCAGCCTTCTCAGTTATCCTGGTGAACACAACGAAGATTTCATGCACCAAATACCATCCAGCTCCAATTGTCATTTCAGGATTCGCACTGTTTTAATGAATGCCAAAACTGTTTTTTCACTTGATAGAGCCTGACAAGACCAGCAATCACAGATTAGAGAGAAACTTCTTGCTTTTCAACAAAGGTTAATAAATAGTGACAGCATTAAGTCTATTCTGATTAACTATGCTGAAAGATATTATTTCTGTTTGTAACAAGAAATCATTATTGGATTAAGCACAGCATATAAAAATGAAATGTGAGTTTTAACCTCAAATGTAGAATGCAGCCTGCTCAGATAAAGGCAGAGGTAACACTTGGAGGCCCGTATTAATGTTTGAGTCACTCTGGCGAAGGGATATTATATGGCATTTGTCTGGTCTGGATTTGCTGGGGGAAGAAGAGGTCCCTCAGTGAACTCTCTTGTTGTCTGCCACCCCTCAAACCTAAGATGCTAAGAGGCAAACAGCAGTGACAAGCTCCTTGTGCTAGATTGTATCATGTCAAGTAGCAAAACAAAAGCATGTAGCATCCAACTGGGGATGGATGGATCACAAGTGGCCTTGGTTGTCTATGGGCGTCTCTGACCTCAAAGACCTTCCCCAGTAAAATGCCAATACTAATTAAGAAGCTGGAGATGAAGCACTTCAGGAGGCTGAGGTGGGAGGATTGCTTGAGCCTAGGAGTTTGAGACCAGCCTGGACAACAAAGCAAGACCTCGTCTCTACTTAAAAAAAAAAAAAAAAAAATTAGTTGAGTGTGGTGGTGGGCACCTGTGGTTCCAGCCACTCTGGAGGCTGAGGCAGGAAGATGGCTTGAGCCTAGGAGTTGGAGGATGCAGTGAGCTATGATTGTACCACTGAACTCCAGCCTGGGCAACAGAGTGAGATCCTATCTCAAACCAAAAAACAAAAAGAAGTTGTTAGAGATCGGGGGAGATCCACCCTTGCTTTCTAAATGAAGAAGTTGGAGAAGTAATTTAATGGTTTCCAGTGGCTCATTAACCTGCAACTGGGTTAGGAAAGAGATGAGATCCAAGATCAAAGCCATTGCCTTTCCCCTTCTCCACCATCCTATCCACTGTGGACTACCAAAAATGCCCCAACCTGTGTGATAACAGATGTTTTGTACATTTGTTCTTTCAGCACCCAGACTGTGGTCTCTAAATACCATTAGTCCAGGGATCCCTGGAGCAAAGCCTGAGTCCAAGACTGAGGTGGGAAACATATGGAATGAGCTTGGATCAACTTGTCCTCCCAGAAAGCAAGAAGGGCATCCAAGGTCGCTGGGGCAGTCCAGAGGGGTCAGAGGCCCCCACATGCCAGAGATGGGACAGTCGGAGCATAAATAAGGGCAGTAACTGAAATGGATTAAGACACTTCTGTTACACTTGCAACTATGGGCTTACAATGATATTTTTTAAAACTCTCGTAGGCCACCTTTGGAGGATGTTAGGGAACCAGCTCATTATTTTGAAAACCAGCAAATAAAGAGAAAGATTTAAGCATCTATCTTCCCTTTTGTAAACATACTTTCCTTCAGGGTAAACAAATAATTGATGAGGGGCGGTTTCCCTGTAGAGAAAATTGCCCAGCTAAGAGAGAGAAAGAGGGACAGGAAGAACGTAAGCACATTTAGCAACCCCTAATGAATTCATGGACCCAGGCAATGATTATCAGTGGTCATGAAACCCAGCAGATGAAAAGCTGATGGGAAACTTGACAATGGATGGACCGGCTGACAGCTCCTGAACCCACCAATCAATCTCCATGCCCTGAAAGGGAGATAGCCAGACCTCGTGTGCCTCTACCAGAAGGGCATGTGGCCACCTGCAATGTGGTCTTGGCAAAAATGTCAATCTGGCATCTGATCAAGCCTCTGGGGTTACCACCAGTTCACAGGAGACCCAGGGGATGGAGGAGAGCATTAAATGACACCATGAAGATGCACTCAGCCAAACCCAATGGACAGAAGCTCTACAGGACAGCCTGATTTCTTCAGCAAGAAAAAAAGTTGCAAAAAAAGAGAGAGAGAGGGAGAAAGAGAAAGTGAAGGAGAGGAGAGTGGGGCGAGGAGAGTGGGGCAAAGAGAAGGGGGAAAATGGGTGGAGACAGAGAGGGGAGATGGGGTGGGGGAAGAGAGAGAAAAGATAGTGGGTAGAGACAGTGGGTATGGAGGTGGCAGAGAGAGAGGGGAAACAGATTAAAATATGAATCTGAGTCCACACTGATATAAATAAAAAACTGAATAGATAAATAAATGGGGAAGAAGGAAAAAAGCTCTTCAATTAATAAATGTAGAAGTAATGACGGAAACAGAAAATCACCATTTGGCAAACACCATAGCAATAATTGTTTCAAGCAAGAAGCATCGATGCATGCTAAAATTATTGGGCAAAAGAATGATGACAGAGAGTATTACATTGTCTCAAAATGTTTCCACACAAGCACTTATTAGTTACAAAGGGAAAAATAATAATTTTACAGCAGAGGATCCAGCCAGTCTTCACCTTGAGCAAGTGACCAAAGTTAACAGCAGTGGTGCCTCCTGATCCAATGCATGGAGAAGGACACAACATCACTCCTGTAGCCCAAAATGCACAACCTGAATCGAATCATAAGTAAACACCCTGCATTCTCAAATGGAGGGACATTCTTCAAGATAAATGGCCAGTTTTCATCAAAAGTGTCAAGGCCATTAAAGACAAAAGAAGACTGAAGAACTGTTGGAGATTAAGGGAGACTATGGGGAAATAACAACTCCATGCGTCACATGATCCAGAACTGGACTCTGGACCAGAAAAACGACATCAGTGGGACACTTGGCAAAATTTGAGTCAGGTCAGTCCATTATGTAATGGTGTTTCAGCCACGTTAATTTTTCTGACTTTGTAATTGTGTTGTGGTTAGGCTGGATGTCAGCATTCAGGGAATCTGGGGAATTCTTTGTACTGTTTTTGTAACTTTTTGTCAGTCTTTTTGAAATTATCTCAAAATGAAAAGTTAAAAAAAAAAAGTTTAAATAAATTACACCCAAAGCTTTCCCTAACTGCCCTATCTCATTTATTTGCTTTTCATCCTCTTGAATTTTAATTTCAGGCATTTGTTTTCTCACTGTAACTTAGAAGCCCCATCCCAGACCTTTCCATTCCCTGCACCCTCTGCTCCCTCACCTAGAGGACGGGCATTCTGCCTGCCAGGGCACATGTCCCAATACTCCCAACTTCCTAGAGCCAGCAAGAACAGAATACGGTGGGAACTGCAGCACTGGGCCCTCCCCAGGTGAAACCTGCAGCTCCCGGAACTCCCTGAGGCAACAGAAGAACTTAGCTGGGAACATGGAGAAAAGAATTGTAAGTGACATGTACATGACATCTTTGCCTGATTAGATGAGGCAGGAAATCCTGAAGAAGAATGGATGCACCCCAGTCAGATGTCAAAAAAGTTCCTGCAAAGGAGAAACTTACATGGGCTCAAGGACTCCAGGTGCACACCAGGTGGGCAGGCTGTGTGAGGGGCCTGTGGGCTTGGCCACAGAGCAGGAAGGCCACCGGGGGGTCTTGGCAGACCTTAGGTGTGATTCAAAGGGACATGGCCCACTGTCACCAAAAACTGTACATTTGGGTACACCTGTAGATGTTACAAAGAGCCTCAGTTTCCTCACCTGTAAAATGGGGACAGAAGTGTGGATTTAATGAGATGGTATAAGTTAACGCAATGCCTGGCACACACTGTCCAGCCAATGGAAGGTGGCATTGCGTGTTATCATTGCTTCTGAATTTCAAATGCAACAATCTTGCCACCATGTGGGCCTTGCCTGCACACAGCCTGTCCAGCAACCCTATCAACTGAGCTGCTGACACAAAGCCCAACACTTCTCTTCCACTACATCCTTGCCTCTCCCTGTCCCCAGGTTGTCCCCTGTCCTTCTTTCCTCTCCCGGCCATAATGGACAGCATCTGTTCTTCCATCTCACCAGAGATTCTATGCCTCCCTGCCTTTGTGCCTATGAATTCCTGAAACAGAAATGTGTTTTCTGTCCCACCCCTTTCTGTCACATGTTGTTGGAAGTGTCATCATTCAAGGCCCTTCTCGCGGAAGTCTTCCAGGATTGCCTCAGTCAAAATCTATCACCCCTTCCTTGGCACCTACCTGGTACCTTTTCTTATTTCTATCAGGAATTAAGACTCATTATTAGGCCAGATATGGTGGTGCACACCTGTAATTCCAATACTTTGGGGCTGAGGTGAGAGGATTACTTGAGCCCAAGAGTTTGAGACCAGCCTGGGCAACATAGCAAGACCCCATCTCCTCTAAAAATAAAAATATTAGCCAGGACTGGGGGCAGTGGCTCATGCCTGTAATCCCAGCACTTTGGGAGGCCAAGGTGGGTGAATTGCTTAAGTCCAGGGGTTTGAGACCAGCCTGGGCAACATAGCAAGACCCCATCTCTACTAAAAATAAAAATATTAGCTGGGGCTGGGCATGGTGACACCTGCCTGTAGTTCCAACTGTGGTCATGCCTGTAATCCCAGCACTCTGTGAGGCCGAGGTGGATGGATTGTTTAAGTCCAGGAGTTTGAGACCAGCCTAGGCAACATGGCAAAACCCTATCCTTACAAAATATTAGCCAGGTATGGTGGTACCAGCCTACAGTTCCAGCTACTTGAGAGGCTGAGGTGGGGGGATCGCTTGGGCCCAAGAGTTTGAGACCAGCCTGGGCAACACAGCAAGACCCCATGTCTACTAAAAATAAAAATATTAGCCAGGCGTGGTGGCATATGCCTGTAGTCCCAGCTACTCAAGAGGCTGAGATGGGAGTATCACTTGAGCCCAGGAGGTCAAGGCTGCAGTGAGCCATGATCATGGCACTGCACTCCAACCTGGGCAACAGAGAGGGACTCTGTCTCAAAAAAAAAAAAAAAAAAGACTCATTATTAGTTAATATCAGTGAAATCAGAGCTGCCATGAATTACCATTAGAGAAATTCTCAATTAAGTCTCTGAACAGCCATGCAGCAGGTATTACTGTTCACCCACTTTACAGATGAGGAAACTGAGTCACAGAGAGGTGAAGCCACTTGCACAAGGTTACCACCTAGCTGGGAAATGACAGATGCAGGCTTCAAACCCAGGTCTGTGTGGCTCCAAAGTCCCAGTTATTCTCCTGATACTCCTGGGAAAGGCAGCTGGAGAGGAAGCAATCTACATTCCCCATCTCCCTGGGGGTGTGCAGTATAGGCTCTGGAGAGGCAGGGAGAGCTCACATGCACACGTGCGTGAGCACACACACACACACACACACACAGAGCTTTCCAGCTTCCCACACTAGCCCTCTCCTGAATTTCAAAACATCTCCCCTTTGCTGAGTCACCTCTTCCGTCAGCCCCTTCCTGGGAGGAGGCGGACAGAAATCAATAGCCATTGCCTATCAACTCAGTGATCAAATCAACCAGCATCGGGCCCCCGAGGCCATGGCTGATCATTCCAAAACCCCCAAACCCCATTTCATTACAGTTAAATGAATATTTCCTTTTAATCACCCCCAAATATTTCTGAAGAGGCAGAAATAAATGCCTGGGGAGAGGCAGGCCATACATCTTAGCACCAGAAGCAGTGAAGGTCACTACCCAGGGAACGGGGCTCACCCCAGCGCAGGGCCCTGACCCTCAATGTGGCCCCCGAGTCAATTCTGGGGATAGCGATGAGCCCAGGTCCCTGGACAGATCAGCCAAGGACGGCTCCTTAGAGGAGAACAGGTTATAAGGCATGCCTGGGAAAACCGGGCTGGGAGAAACAGAGTGTTTCGGGTAGAACCACCAAGACTCACGCCCCATTCATCCAATATGGGAGCCACAGGGTCCCCTCCCTATCCCTGTCCTTTCTTCAAAAGAAGCATCCACATTCTCTGAGGGCCACAGCTGGCTGCGAGCCCAGGTGGTCCTGAAAGGCGTCAAGGTCACCAGGTGGGGCCAATCTGACTCTTGGTGTTCCATGAACTTGCAGGTGTCTCTGAAGCTCAATGGGCTGCTGTTTCCTCCTCTGGTAACCAGGAACGGACTTTAAAACCCCTCTTCTGGCCTGGCGGCTCTGAAAACAACCCAGCAATAAAGATAATGGCCAGCAGTCCATACTGCGTGCCAGATCCTTTCCTTCAATATGTTGTGTGAATTATCTCATTTTATAGATGAGGAACCAGGGCCACAGCGAGGTAAAGCAACTTGCCCTGCATCACACAGCCAGAGGGTGAAGAGCTGGAATTTGAACCAGGGAAACCTGGCTTTTGAATCAGGCTCTTCCCCTTTTCCCAGCTCCCCACCTGGCCAGTGTGACTATCCAAAGCTTTGGAACCCTCTGCAAATGATGGGGTTCAGAAGATAATTCCTGGGCTTCTCTTTGGACTTTGTTAGCCCACAAACCTCCCATGAGCCATCCTGAGATTTGGCTTCTCGATTAAATCCTTCTTAACGCCCCAAATCCATGCATGCATTCAACACGGATCCTGTTTTTTATACTATGTGAGGGGGGAAGAGTGAAAGGCAGAAAAAGGAAGCTTTGGCCTATGAAGGACCCTAGTCTACCTAACATGAACATGGTGCAGCCAGGACATGCTGGAATTAGAAGACATAAAAAAGATGATTGTGCCCCAAGAGAGAGAAAATGCAGACAACAATAAAGACAGAAAGAGAGGAGGCTTTTAGTAGTAGCCGTGGCGCTTAGGCAGGACTCAAAGCACAAATAGGTTAGGTTTAGGTAAAAGAAAGACATTCCAGGTGGTCGGAACGGCTTGGGCAAATGCATGGATCCAAGTTGGTCCAATCAGGGGGAATCCCAGGACATTTGCTAAAGCCTAGGAAAGAGCTGCTTTCTTTCCCTGGGAGCTGCCAAGGTGGTGAAACAGCTGCCAGGGGAGAATCCTGGCTCAGAACAAAGCCCACCCATACAGGGGAAAAGCTGAGCCAAGATCTGAGTAGGATGAGATAACACCATTTGAGCAGCTGGATACAGCCATGCCTGAAGGCAGACACCTGACCGTTTCAGGTCACATGAGCCAATAAAAATTTTCTTTTGTTTAAGTTGACTCCAGATAAGTTTCTCTCAGATAGAACCGTAAGAGTCCTGCCTGTTATAGTAGACAGTGGCCCCAGATCCTCCCCAAGTGTGACAAAGTCCCTGAAAAGTCTATTTGAGATTCATGCATCAACCAGTTCTCTTCTTTCACTTGGCCCCAACAGGGCATCTCCTTGCATCCCAGCACTGAGCACAGAAATGTTCACTGAATGAATGAATGAATGAAGTTTCCCTCACAGTTGATGTACGCCTGTCTGTCAAGGTCATATTCACTCCCTCTAACCCATTCCCTGGTCTTCGAGTTGAGAGATAGCATCTCAGTTTCCTGCCAGCTCCTTTATCTCTGGCCATCACACTCAGTTAAGTGACTGACTCCAAGGTATGTTCCCAGCACCCAGGAACAACTCTGCAAAGGGAAGATGCTTCCATCAGGCGCCCTGTTTATGGGAAACTGCCAGGTCGTTCCCGAACCCAATCACCCGTTAGCCACAGTGAGCATGGTGCACCGCTTGTCCACCCATCCAACAAGCATTGGTTGAGCATCTACTATACACCAGACCTTTTGCTCAAAGCATCCCAGTGAGGGAGGCAAAAATCCATGAAATAGAAAAAGCTTCACCCCCATCCAATAAGACCGTCAAGGTAAGAGGAGTGTCCCCTCTAGGCAGGAAACTTACAAAATTATCTGTTGCTAATAATAATAAAAATAAAGTGTTTTATTCCTAAAAAATAACCCCTTTCTGTAAACATCAAGGCATCCACTTCAAATCTTGTTGGTATCATTAAACTGGTAAGGAATATCACCTTGCAAAAAGATAAGATAGTAACAATAGTAATAACAATAACAGCTTTTTTTTTGATCACTTACTACGCAAACTGCCAAGCTAAATGTTTTAGCTACACTGTCTCATTGAACTTTTGCTACCCACTACGAAGTGGGTAAACAGAGGCTCAGAGAGGTTAAGGAGCTGTCCTGAAGTCACTCGGCAACTGGAAGAACTAGAACTTCTACACAGATTTGGAAGACTCCAAAATGTCTCCAAGCCTCAGCTTTCTCCCCATAAAATAGGAATAAGGATTTACTTTGAGGGGTTTCTACAAAGACTAGACGAGATCATGCATGCAAGCTGTTTCAGCACAAGGCCTGGCCCAGGCAGAGGGCCTCACTGAATGAGCCTGAGTATTTCATCATCAACATGTCCGTGACATGGTTGAAGGTGGGGTGGGCTCAGGGCACAGTGTGGTGCCAGGCTCAGGGGAAATCTCATGCCACTCTCCTCTCAGTTGTCTGCCACCAATGCTCAGATGTCAGTCGGCTTTGGACAAGTGCACAAAACAGTCTCGGATGCCCACAACCGCCACAAGCCTGAGCTTGCTAGATCCTCCCTCGGAGGGAGAGCTGCCAGGTGGCTTCCTTGTCGGCTGGCTCCCACACCTGGCTGCTGCCCAGGGTGATTTAACCTGAGTCCCTGCCCACCTCACCAGACCGTTGGAGGAGAGACAGGCACAGCATTTGGCGCGGCCCACCCACGCAGGACACCCACCCCATAACCCATACCACGATGCCTCGGGCATGCCCAGCCAGATGCCTGGCACACAGCAGCTGCCTGACAGCAGCACACAGTGGGCAAGGCTACAGAAAGAGTGGGTTACACATTGTGTGATTTTAAAAAAAGAGGATATTGTGTGCCGACAGGACGTTTTAATCTGAGTTCAGGCGTTCCAGAAATAACAATAATAGCTCCTGCTCTATAGTACTTACTATAACCTTTTATGTAAAGTAAGAAATTTAACTCTCACAACATCCCCATGTAGTCGGTACTGTATTTAGCCCGATTTTGCAGGTAAGGAAACTGAGGCACAGATAAAGTGACCTGCCTGATATCACACATAGCTAGGACACACCGAACCAATCTGGCCCACGGAAGTCTGCCTTGTTCCAGAAAGACCCCAAGGTAACAAGTAAGAGACAGCCCTGAGCCTGGCTCTGTTATGACTCTCATTTTACAGGTGGGAAGACTAAGGCTCAGAGAAGCTCAGCAACATGCCCAAGGCCACACAGTGTTTGAAGCCAGGCTCCAGATATGCATCTGGCACTGGCGCGACCATCTTCTATTCTGCAGAGTACCTGGTTTCTGTTTTGTAAGATGTGACTCCCCCTACCCACTCACCCACCCAGATCTGCAGAGGGTGATACCACAACATGACAAATCCCAGTGAAGGGACAGTGAGCCGGACAGGGACAGAGATCAAAAGGAGGTTCCTCTGGCTCCATGGCTCTGTGGAGAAGCCCGGCAGCCACCAGGTTCCCTGCAAGGCATGGATTTTCTAGCCTGGAGAAGCGGCTGTAGGGGGTCACACCCTGCAGGTGGCAGGATGCAGGGCTGCTGTGGTGTGGCCATCTGGGGGACCCTGACAGTCTCCAGGGCTGTGGCCAGAGTCCCTTACCACACAGCTCAGGGCAGCCTTCCTGGAAGGTGCATCCCAGGAACCAATCCTGGGGCACCAGCCTCCCCCGGGCCGCACTGACCCATTGTCACCCAGGGGTCCTCATCACGAGGGGTGAGTGCACCTTGAAAAAGCGCATTCGTGTCACAAAATGCTTTGGTATTTAGAAAGCAACACCCCTTCCAAAACCAAAACACCCATTGTTTTTATCGCCCAAGCTACAGAAGGCAAATCTTGACAAAACCATCTTGGTTGGAATAGGGTGGGTTAAAAATGGCCACAGCCCTCAGAGGGACAGGGGAGGGTTTTCCAGGCTCTGACTGGAGCTGGGGCTGAGGCAAGAGGCTGGGAGTCTACAGTGACCTCCTTGGTGGCAAGCTGAGCTGCCCAGGGAGGGCTCTACTGGGGGCTCCCCCATGCAAGATGGAAGTGCCCCACACATGTGCTCATATGCAACACATGCAACATGTGCTCACATACATACTCACACAGGTGCTCCAGCACATGAGCACTGCTCACACCCTCCTGTGCAACGTGTGCTCAGTCCACACGCTCTCATATGTAGCACACACATGCAAAATACATGCACACAACTCACTCTGCCACGTGACACCCTCCTCCATGCAAGCTCACATGTTCAAATGTATACAATTCACACACTTGTGGGTGTACACTCATGCTTACACACACGCATGCATACCCCTCTGACTTGCACACATGGGTGTCTGCACCCACACAGACCCACCAGTCACGCACCCATGTGTCTCCTTAAGATACACACACACATCCGCACAAACAGAAAGACACAGAGGGCCAAGACCCACACCCAGCCACACCCATGGCCACCTCCAAAGACACACAGACACACACACAACTCATGAGTGCACACACAGAGATAGGCAGAGATCCACACTCAATCTCATGCATGGACGGCTCTCGCGGCCACCACACACGCAGAGAAAGACACACGGAGAGCCACACAGGCCACGCATACATCGAGCTGGACACACAAAGGGGCACAAGGACACACACAGGCACAAGGACACACACAGACACAAGCACACACACACATACACACACACACACACACACAGTCACAGGCTCCTGCTCTCACATCCCCCAAGTCCTCTCAACCCTCGGCGGGTCCTTGCACTCACCCTGGGCAGCTCCTGCCTCCTCTCCAGAGCCGTCCAAGGCTCCCAGAAGTGTCCAGACACAGCCCCGCTCCGAGGGCCCGTCAGCAGCACCACCGGCAAATAAAAAGCGAATGTGCAAAAATAAAAGCGAAAGGCTGCGATAAAGCCGTTCCCTTCCCACAGGACTCTGAGCTGACGCAGGTTCTGCTCTGCAATAAACATTTTCATTCTAATTTTAAAAGACATTAGCATTACCTCTTTGGCTCTCGATTGAGCCAGACGGTCCCTCGCCTCCTAGCTGCCCATCGGCCCCGCTGGGCATGGAGGGGACAGAGGGTCACTCTGAATGATGGGCACTGACCCAGGCTGCCTGGGTCTGATTTTACACCATCCGTGCAGGCCCCAGTTTCGGCGCCCAATAAACCCAATAGGTGATCAGAGAGACTGGGAGCCCCAAAGCTGGCAGAGACATCCCCCACCTTCCCCTGAGACTCCATCTCACCCCAGCCAGGATCCCTGCAGGTCCAATCCTGTTCTCCCATGTGAGGGCTACACATGAGGATGGTGGCTTTCAAATGGCAGGTCTGCCCCCAACAAATAGGGGGCCACCCCCACCTCCCCACAACTTGCCCTGCCTGCAAACCCGAGTCTCACCTCATACCTCCCAGCAGTGACCCAACCTGGCTTTCCGGGCTTGGCAAGAAATGAAGGAAGAAGAGAAACCACATAACGGTTTAAGAAAGCACCGAGCTATTTTTATGAGCTCAGAGGCCTAGACCCCAAAATGCAGCACTGCCTCTGGCCTCCAGCCTCAGCTCTTGCCACACCCTGCTCACCCGGAGGTCCCAGGCACTCTGAACAGTGATTTGCACAAAGCCCACCTCCGAGCCTTTGGCCAGGCCGTTTCCTCCACCTTGAACACACGTTCCTGCCTCTGCTGGGGCAGGACCTGGTCGCCCTTCAGGTCTGAGCTTCCAAGTCACTTCCTTCCACACTGCTGAGCATTTGGGATCCTGTATTGAATGGGCAACCCAGTTCCTGCCTTCACTGAGCAGATGATGTAGGTGGCCTCCTCTGGGAGACTTCCTTGGCCTTCCAGGCTATATTGAGCACCTATCCTTACTCCAGAGGCCTCCCGGCTCCTACTCAGGGACAGCTCTTCTCAGGCTGGTTCTACATGCTGCACTTCTGGCCGTTCCTGTCTGGGGGCTCCCTGAGGGGAGGAGGCAGTCTGCGGTGCTCCCCCTTTCCCCTGCACCAGGCATGAGCCCCATGGGCGGCTGCTAAGTGCATGAATAAATGAATACCCAGCTTGTGCCAGCCGAGGCCAAGTCCCTCCAGCGTGGCTCACTGTCCTCCTCCTCTGAACTCACGAAGAGAAAGGGAATCAGGAGACCAACATGAGTCCTTGCTAGAGAGAGGGAGGTGACGTTGGCTTCCTGCTCTTGTCTGAGCTGCTCTGGGGCTGGGGGTATAGGTCCCCTCCGGCCATTCCCCCGTTAACATGTCACCATATTGTCAACTGGGGCTCCGCAGTCCCCGAGCGTCAAGATGTGGGATGGAAAGGAGAAATGCTGGCAAGGCAGCTCACAGCAGCCTCAGTGGCCTCCCTCCAGAGATGCGTATCTACTTTGAAAGGTCCCTCGTTGGCCTGTACCCGGGAATCCCCGGTGCCAAGGCCGATGACTGCAGCAGCTCCTCCCTGTCTCTCCCACTCAGTTCTTTTTTTTTTTTTTTTTGAGACGAAGTCTCGCTCTGTCGCTCAGGCTGGAGTGCAGTGGCATGATTTTGGCTCACTGTAACCTCTACCTCCCAGGTTCAAGTGATTCTCCTGCCTCAGCCTCCCAAGTAGCTGGGATTACAGGCAGGCACCACCACACCCGGTTAATTTTTATAGTTTTAGTAGAGACAGGGTTTTGCCATGTTGTCCAGCCTAGTCTTGAACTCCTGACCTCAAGTGATCCACTTGCCTCGGCCTCCCAAGTGGTGGTATTACAGGCGTAAAGCCACAGCGCCCAGCTCCCGACTCTGTTCTTACCCCTACGACCCTCCTCTCCATGGTGGCCTGAGACTTCTTTGCAAAAGGTAAGTGGATCCTGTCACTACTGTCCCAAGCTTACGCCCTTCAATGGCTTCCTGTAGCTCTTAGAACTAAACTCCCCAAATCCTTACTCTGAGCCTCGGGGAAAAGTCCAAACTCCATGTGGTGGCCTTGGGGCCTTGTCTGATCTGACACCCACCAACCACTCCAAGCTCACCTCTAACCCAGCAAAACGACTCACACGCCCTGGAGCCTGGGTTCTCTGTGCCAATGCCCACGCCATTCCTGGTGCCCAATGCTGTGCCCCAGGTACAAAACAGCCACCCCGATCCCCTGCCTGCTCGCTGCAGTCTCTTTGCGGATCCTCCCTGGCTCCTGACTCTGAGCGCCTCGCTTGCCGAGCAGGACCTGCTGCTGTGAGAAAACGCTGTCTTGTGCAGTCACGGGTGGTCTGCTCACGCCAGTGACCCCCCTGAGAGCAGAAGCCCATTTTAGTTATCTAGGAGCTCCCCAGATCTGGCCCCGGGTAGGCACATGAATATGTATTAGTTATTGCTGCTGTGATTAATATCATTTTAGGCTCCCTCTGCTGCTGGTGCCTTGCTCTAAGCTCTCGTATTTGTTGCTAATAAATAAAGCCAAAAAGAAAGACCCTGGCTCCTCTGCTTCCTCCCCAACTTCCCATCCTGCTCTCTGGAGATGGAGGGCTTGGGGACAAGCAGGTGAGCAGTGTGTCATTTCCCAAAACACTTCCCAAAATTGAACAGGAAGCAGTGGGAGATGGGGTTTGTCACCCCAAGACAGGCATCTGAGTACCTGAGCCCAGAACAACATGGGTTTTCACTCCAAGGCCACACCTGGTGGTCTCAGGTGACACACACACATTTGAGGGTCTCATGTCACCTTCCTGGGTGTATCTGGACCAGAGCTCCCATCAGAGGCATGAGAAGGGAACAGGAAGGATGCCCAGTGCAGAACTTTCGGGGGTGCTGGGCTCTGTCCGATGTGTTGGCAAGGCTCTGCTTTTAGGATTTAATCCTTTTTATCTTGACAACAGGGACTCACCTTCTGAAGCCAAGATCTTAGCTGCCTCCCAACTTCTTCTTTTTCTTTTTTTTTTCTTGATGGAGCCCTGCTTTGTTGCCCAGGCTGGAGTGCAGTGGTGTGATCTTGGCTCACTGCAACCTCCACCTCCTGGGTTCAAGCAATTCTCTGCCTCAGCCTCCCAAGTAGCCGGGATTACAGGTGCCCACCACCATGCCTGGCTAATTTTTGTATTTTTAGTAGAGATGGAGTTTCATCATGCTGGCCAGGTTGGTCTCTAACTCCTGACCTCAAGTGATCCACCTGCCTCGGCCTCCCAAAGTGTTGGGATTACAGCCTACTAACTTCTTCAAGCCAGATCTCCTGAACAATTCCAGCTCAACTCACAAACCCACCCCGTGGCTGAGCTGGCCTTGCTTTCTGGAGGGAAAGAGGAGGCTGGAGGTGCCACTGAGCTGGGAAGCGGGGATGTGAAGCATCAGAGAAGAGGGACAGGACCACGGGATGGCTATGGGGCCTCGGGCAAGTGACTTTGCCTCTGTGAGCCTCAGTTTCCTCTTCT